>NC_000015.10:92501884-92653399 GCF_000001405.40 Homo sapiens
GTACTATAACAAACCTGCACATCTACCCTCAATTCTAAAATAAAAGTTGAAAGAAACATAAATTAGGATTAAAATGTCATCTGGCCTTTAACTTAGGGATCATTTATCCTACATAGCAGACATTGTTGGTACCTCCCAACAAAGTGTGCATTTCTCCCCTCCTCCCTGCAGAACCTCAGCTGTGTTTAGCTGTCCATCTCTTCCTTTAGCAGCCGGTGTGATTCAAGAGATATAAACTCACTCAGCTCCAGCAGTGGGTTCTGAGCCAGAGAGTCTCAAACTTGAGCAGGCATCAGAACCACCAGAAGTTTCTCATTCTTAGTGTTTCTGATTCAGCAGGTCTGGGGTGGGGACCTGAGAATTTTCATTTCAAAATGGGGCTGTTGCTGCTGGTCTACAGACTCCATTTTGAGAGCCCCTGGTTCAAGCCAAATGCAGAAATCCCCTCCTTTTGTCCAATGACGGCTTCAGAGATAAGATGCCGACACCGTCTGAGACATGGTGAGATGTTTGATGGGAGTTTTTTGGAAGAAAACTTTCTTCTCTTAAAAGAGAGCCACAAGACAAGCTAGACTTCCTCTCCCTCATTCTACTTCCCCCAAACATGAGCAAGGGGGAATGGAGCCCTGACTGTTACTGGCAGGCAGCCACAAGAAGAATCAGCCTTAAGATGTCACCAATGCTCCAAAAGATGAAGCAGAAAGATGGAAAGATCTGAGTCCTTTGTCTGAGGCCCCTGACCGCTAGAGTTCCTTTTAAATGAGACGACACACTTGGTTATCGGTTAAACCCCTCCGTGTTGCCTTCTGTTACCTACAGACAAATGCATCCTGACACAAGCATAATAAACATTGTTTTTAAATATTTAAAGCTAAAACAATTTTTTCCTAAATAGCACAATGCCATACACTTAAGACTGATAACAGACTGGGGGAAATATTTGCAGCTTGAATCTCATGAGTCTCATCCGTCTCATGTGCCGAGTTGAATAGCCCAATCCAGTGGGCCTTCTTGCTTCTTTAAATCTGGTGCCACACAGAGGTAGATACTAAAGAAATACAGTTATGAATCAAAGTTCAGAAAAAACAACTGTATTTAATAAACAGTTTCTAAGGGGCAAAGGGATGGGTCAGAGTCTGCAAATGGAAGATTACATTATCCAGAAAACAAAAATTCCTTAGGGAAAAAAAAAATGTTTCATCCATCCATCTTCCCCCCATCCCACAGAGTGGAGCAGCTGCTCTCAACCTTCTGTCTTTACATCTGTCCTCCAAAACATGGTCAAGTGGTCAAGTTCTTCTCTTATGATTCCTGCTCTCTGAGTAAGTTGCTGTTACATAAGCCTCCCATTTCTCTAGGCTGCTACCAATACTGCCTCTTCCAGATCTCTCTGGAGGGGCATAGTTGAGATGGGGTTGGGGGTGGTGGTGAGAGGAAAGCAGCGAAATTTCATATTGATGAAATATGCATTAACTTAGAGATGAAAAAGCGAAGACAGAGTTTAAGTAACTCAGTCCAAAATCACATCTGGAAAACCCAAGCTTTCCACCACTACACTAATCTGCCACCAACAAAGGATTGAGGTCCCTAACGTAAAAATAGCTTGCACAAATCAAAGGAGAAGGAAAAACCACCCTAATGGAAAAATTTGCAAAGAACATGCAAAAGGAAATTAAAGAAGAAAAACAAATTTAAAGAGATGTTCAACCTCACTAGTAATAAAACGAATGGAAATTAAAACAATATTTCAGCTAGCAGATGAGCAAAGATTTTTTTAAAAAACATTAATTATAAGCAGTGTTGGCTGGGTATGGAGGAAGAGGAACTCCCACACTGCACTGATCAGAGAATAACTGAAGAAAAATTAGATAATACCTCTCCAAATTTAAAATTAGCTTACATTTGACCCTGCAATTCTCCTTCTAGTAATTCATCCTAACGAGTTTATCAGAGAAGCAGGAAAAAAATATGTACAAGAATGTTTACAAAGCAGCATGTTTTAACAGTAAAACGTGGAAACAACTTAATGATCACCCATAGGGAATTAAACAAATATATGAGGGAGAGAGAGAGGAAGGAATACTATGGACTTCCCAATACAGAACCTCACAACCGACTACCTTGCCTACCCAGCCACAGGCAACATCGAACAAACACAGGCTCCCTCAACAGTGCCACGGCCTGTTCTTGAAAAACTCACAGCAGGGAACCCCAAAGCAGACTGCAGATCCCAGGGAGGAGGAGCTGCAGAGCTTCACAGGCCCACCTTCTTCTCCAAACCCCTCTAGTTCAGAGGATTAAGTGAGGCATTAGAGAAAAGCTGGAGTGTAACTTTAATGGAGGTCCCACCCCTTGGAAACATGAAGAGAGGAGAGAGAAGGTTCCCCTAATTCCAACCCTTCCATAGATATATATTCACAGAAGAAATTTTGGAGTGATGGATATCTGTGCTGGCCAGTTTATCTACCTAGCCTGAGTGTATATAGGTTGGGACACTTTGTAGATATTTACCCAGTGAGAAAGCCACCAGAACCCTCACACTCACTTACCACTGGGGAGTGCAGGATGACTGTCAGCAGGTCCAAAGTGAGACGATAGTTGGAAGGGGCAAGGTGAGCCCGGGGAAGGCCAACATTGCAGGAAGGAAGGCCTAATCCAGGGACCAGAAGGAAAATGTGACCAAAGGCTCAAGATCTGCAACAATAACCTAGATGGAGCCTAGCCAGCGCAGGTAGGGGAAGAACTAAATCCCACCTTCGGCAAAAGTAAGTAGCAGATGCCAGTAGGGTGCCCATGGAGCAGGCAGGACAAAGACTTTCGGCAGGAAAGTCAACAAGAATCCAGGGGCAAAAGCGCCCCTCCATTAACCAGGCACTTTGCCATGAAATCACATAGCTTCTTCACTATACCCAAACACCATCTTTCAAAATTGAAGAGAGTAGAGAAAACATTTGAGAGAAGAAAAACTGGCCCAGTAGATGTTTGAACATTGAATTTGAATGGATATTTATAGATGAGAGTTAGAACTAACTTATAAGAACTCTTACAAGATTACTAGAGACTGTGCAAGAGATTTTTTTTTTATGATATCCAGTGTTGGCTAGGGTATGAGGGAAAAAGAACTCTCACACTCTGCTAGTGAGAGAGTACCTGAATAAAAATTAGGTAATACCTCTCCAAATTTTAAATCAGCATGCATTTCCTCCTGTGATTTTGCTTCCAGTAATTTATCCTAATGAATTCATCAGGCAGCAAGAAGAAAGAAGCCAAGAATGCTTACAGAGCATCGTTATAGTGAAAGAGCCCCCAATCTCTGTCAGTACCGGCAAGAACTGACACTCCGGATGTTTGTTCACGTCAGAGTTGGAGTGTGTTCATTTCTGCCATATTTCTAACAGTACACTAATAGTATAATAGATATACTATATATCATAATATAGTATTAACACTAATTATAATATAGTTTTTATATTGTAATATATTAAATATAATGAGAAACTTATACATTATACTATATTATATATTATGCATATATGGTTATATGTTGTATATTGATATATTACGATACTAATATGAATGTTAAATATAATATATAATATATTAATATATTCTGTATTAATATAATATTGTCATATAATATATTCATATTTATAATAATATAATTATGTTGACATTAATAATCTATAATATATATTATATGTAGTATATATATTCTATATATGATACATTATATGTATTAAATATATGCAATATATTATATAGTGTATATTCTATATTATTAGTGTACTATTAGAAATATGGCAGAAATTAACATATACATTTATATATGTATTTATTATGTGTATATATAGTTTTGTTTTTTAAAGGAGATGAATTAAATGCTTTGCTAGCTGACCTCTACAGGCATACTGCCAAAAGCACAAGGAACATTTCCAGAATGAGAAAACGTTGTCTGAATCTTAATGCAGAAAGAGATGTGTAAAGCCTTAGAGTCAACTCACACCATGTCTTCAGGTAAACCTGTAAGGATTTTGTTCCTGTTCCTTTGTCCTTGCTTTTTACATTCATTATCTTAATGACATGTTTATTTAAGATAGTGTTTTGTAGTAGACAGTGTTAGTTGCCTGCCCAACCCGATTTCCTTCCCATATTTCCTAATAGCAAAGCGAAGTTGAGGGCCCCTTTGAAATGAGAAGTGTGACAGGAGACCCCCAACAAAAAGCTGGGACACTAAACGCTACACCCGCCACATAAAAGTCATCTAGAGCCAGGCACGGTGGCTCACGCCTGTAATCCCAACACTTTGGGAGGCCGAGGCGGGTGGATCACGAGGTCAGGAAATCGAGACCACCCTAGCTAACACGGTGAAACCCCATCTCTACTAAAAATATAAAAAAAAAATTAGCCGGGCATGGTGGTGGGCGCCTGTAGTCCCAGCTACTCGGGAGGCTGAGGCAGGAGAATTACTTGAACCCGGGAGGCGGAGCTTGCAGTGAGCCCAGATTGCGCCACTGCACTCCAGCCTGGGCAACAGAGCAAGACTCTGTCTCAAAAAAAAAAAAAAAAAATGATCTAGAAATAATCCTGCTTCTCCAAGAATTTCAAAGAAAATTGTCTGTGTCAAACCTTTCTGGTGAGTAGAGGAGAAAAAAATCTCCCTCGAGAGTGTGTAATCTCGAGTCATACTCATGCAGGCATAGACTGAATTCAAACTACCTGGTTGATTTTTAAAAACCTCCAGGTGACAGTTTCAAATACTCTTGGGTTGGTAGTTCCCCCAGACACCTGACAACAAACAATGGCTTCCCTATCTGAAGGAAGTCATCTTCAACACAGCCCTCAAAACATTTCTTCAGATAAAGTTGCATGAAATACGAGCTCACAATCAACAGGAAGTCATGAACCAAAGCCAGACAAAAAATAGACAGCAGAATGAAATCTGCGAACATGGGAGCTACTGAGTTATCAGACACAGAATATAAAGTAGGTTTGATATGTTCTTTTGAAAGTAAAGGAGGCTTAAATGTATATTACTAAGTGAAAGAAGCCAAAGTAAAAAGGCTACATACGGTATGATTCCAACTGTATGATATTCTGGAGAAGGCAAAAATATAGAGAGAGTAACATGATTAGTTGTTGCCAGGGGTTAGAGGAGGGAGGGATGAATAGGCAGACCACAGAGGATCTTTAGGGCAGTGAAACTATTTTATGTGGTATTGTAATAGTAGAAACATGTTATTATATGCTTTTCAAAACCCATACAATGTACAACACTGAAAGTGAACTCTTGTAAACTATGGGCTTTGGCTGATAATGATGTGCCAATGTAGGTTTGTTGATTGTAACAACTGTACTACTCTGGTGTAGGATGTTGATGATGGAGAGGCTGTGCATGTGTGAGGGCAAGGGGAATATGGGAACTCTGTGCAATTTTGCTGTGAACCTAAAACTGCTCTAAAAACTAAAGTCTATTAAAAATAAATGAATAAAATCTAAAGGGAAAAAAGTAAAGGAGAGATAAGTAAGAAGCAAGTGTATCTAAAAATAATTAAGCAGATTAAAAAAAGCATAAATAGAACTTCTAGAAATGGAAAATATAATAATTGAATTGAAAATACATGTCACAAACACTACACACCCATTACAATGGCTAGACTTTAAACAATTGACATTATCAAGTGCTGAAAAGGATATGGAGCAACTGGAACTCTCACGCACTGCTAGTGGGAATGCAAAATGGTATGGCAACTTTGGAGAAAGCTCTGGCAGTGTTGTATAAAGTTAAACATACATTTGCTTGCAATCCAGAAGTCCTACTCCTGGATATTTACTTAAAAGAAATAAAACACATATCAACATAAAAACCTTTAAAAAATAAAGGGTCTTTTCCTAACAGACAGTAAGACAGTACACAAAGCCATATTAACATATTAATAGAAACATTTTTATTGTGGAGAAAGAATATATAAACAGACCAATGGAAGAAGATAGAGAGTAAAACCTACAGGTTTGAGCCAAACCTATGTATACATGCATGTGCACGTGTGTGTATCGAAATTGAATATGTGACAAAGGTGATACCATGAATCAATTGAGAAAGAATAGGTCATTAGAACTGAATTTAAACCTATAACTGCAATCAAAGGTGGACTTCTAATGAATTAAAGGCCTAAATATGACAGGTAATACAAATATAAAATTAATTTCACAAAATTCAGAATATTTTTGTGATCATATTAGAGGCAAGGAAGGATTTTTTAAACATTTTCAAAAATATAAATTATAAGGCAAAAAGCATTAAATTAATTACATCAAAAGGAAAGATGTCTGTTTAATGTAGGACAATAGATTAGAAGATCTTTGCAATGACTAAAATCAACAAGGAAATAATATCTAGACTATACAATTACTGCAAATCACGAAGAAAAACAGAAACCCAAAAGTGAGCAAAAATATTTTAAAACATTTTACAAGAGAAAAAACTATTAAGTATATGAAGAGATGCTCAAACTTATTAGGAATCAAAATCAAATTAAAATAACAGTGAGATATCCCTTTACACCTATTAGATTGGCAAAAAATAGGAATGCCTCTAGGGTCAAGTGTTGGAGAAGTGGAGACACAGAAACCCCATATACTGCTGGTGAGAACTGTTCAGAAGTACCTTTGGGATTACTTCATCAAATTAGGAATATGTATTCCTCATGAGCCTACAATTCCATTCCCAGGGATAGATCCCAAGTATACTCTTATGAAGGTCTGTAAGGAATATACACAGAGATGTTTATTGTAGTTCTACTTGTGTGTCAAAGAGGTTTTCTGAGTGATCATTACTGACAGAGTAATATAATTTATAACAGTACATAATTTTAACAACAAATATCAATATAGAGTATCTAAGAATAAATGTAATAAAAATTGTACAAGACCTATATTGAAAGTTATTAAAGAATAAATAGAGAGCCATACCGTATTAATGGATTGAGAGGATTAATGTCATATAATGGTCAGTTATCCCCAAACTAACCTTCAGAATAAATAAAATTCTAAATAAATTTCAAAGTTTTTATTTTAATAGACCTTGCTGATTCCAGTATGTATATTTGGAAGAACAAAGGGCCAAAAATAACTAAGACATTAGAATGAATTTGAATAATTTATCTCAGCAGGTGCCAATGAAGTCAGTATGGTATTAGCACAAAATGAGCAAATGGACCAGTGAAATAGAATAGCCATCAATAAACTTTCTTACATACAAGAAATTGGTTTATTACAGACCTAACATTTCAGTAGCAAAGAAGAACTAATCAATAAGTGGTGCTAGAGTAATTGGTTATTTATATAGAAACAAACAAAATTGGCCCCTTACCTTATATAATGCAGAAAAATTAATTCCAGAGAGATTAAACACAAGTGTGAAGAACAAAATTTTAATTTAAGAACAAAATACAGAGAAAGAAATTTAAGACTTTGAGGATAAGGATTTATTTCTTAAACAAGACCTAGAAAGCATAAACCACATAGAAAAAGATGAATACTACTACTATATTAAAAGTATTCAAAAGGCATCAAAATGAAAGTGAAAAGTAAAGACAGAAAGTAATATCATATATATGTAATCAGTAAGAAAAAGACAATCTAAGAAAAAGATAAGGAAGACCGATAAGCTCCTTATAAAAGAGGAAACCTGAATGCAATCAACATATGAAAAGATATTTGATCTCTTTAGGAAAAAGGGAAATTCAAAGTAAAATTACAGTGAGAAAGTCATGAAAGTCACCAGATTGGCATAAATTAGAAAGCCCACCATTTGTCAAGAGTGAGGAGGAACTAACTGAACACTTACACTGCACTGATCAGGGTGTGAATTGGTCAATCACTTTGGAAAACAACATGGCAGCAATTCCACTCCTAGGTATATACCTCTGTGCTGTTTCCTCCCAACTGGGTGTACTGCAATACACTTCTGACACTAACCACCCAGTCTGTGAAAACCCCACAGGCCAAGGGCAAAGTTCTCCACTGGACTACCCTCCATTCAGATGCCACATACACTTCTGATCAAGTGATTATAAATTGGGGAATTCCCAGTGGCCCCCCTCAGGTTCAATAATTTGTGATAATAACTTACAGAACTCACTAAAAGCATTATACTTACAATTATAGTTTTATTTATAATAAAATAAATATGCATAGAGTGGGTCTCGGACCCTGACCCAAACTCAGAGATCTTATGCCCTCTCCTTGTGAGTCAGGGCACATCACCCTTCCAGCACACCAACCAGGAAACTCCACTGACCTTTGTCCTGAGTTCTTATTAAGGTTTCATTACACAGGCAAGTTTGATTGAATCATTGGCAAGGTGACTGAACTTGGTCTCTAGCCCCCTACCTCTCCCAAGAGCTCAGGCAGCTGAAAGTCCCAACCCTCTAATGCTCAATCTTTTTGACGACCAGCTCCATCCTGAAGCTGTGTAGGAATCCACTGTGAGTCACCCCATTATCATAACAAAGACACTCCTATGGCTCAGGAATTTCCAAGGGTTTTGAAGCTCTGTGCTGGTAACTGGGAACAAAGACCAGACAAATTCTTTACTATATAATAGCCCTAGAGAAACTCTGCATATGTACCTCAGGAGACATGTATAAGAGCACTACGTGTAATAAACAAAAAAGGAAACAGCCTACATGTTCTTGGGTGTATTGCAATAAATTCCTACAGTGTGATACTGTATATACAGTGGTGATAGTGGTGGTGGAGTTACTGATTGGAAAAGGAAGAGTAAGAGCCACGTACCCCTCCCGCCTTCCATAGTGGTGGATCAGAAGACTCTCCCTTGAGATTAGAGGTGACTCCAAATGTAGGGAACTTGTGTGTTCACCTTGATTTAAGATTTTTTAATGCAGAAGTCTCACCTAAGTGCCTCCCTCACCAGTAAGTATGAGAGGGTTGACTACTCTGCCCTATCACATCAATAACCATTAGCTTCCTGAGGTCCAAGGGCCATAAAAAACGACTCAGTTTCTCTTGATCACCCCAAGAGGTCAACGATTATCTAAGGCACAAGAGTAAGCTAGCAGTGCCACACATAACACTGGTGGAGGCCAAAAGTGGCCAGCGAGGCACCTCTGAGAGGCATCGGCAATAGGAACTCAACATGCAGCCAAAATGGCAAAGGAAATCTGCATGTGTCACCTAGCAGAGACCACTGCACAGGCACAGACACCATTCCCAGGTCCATTTAAATCAAGAAGGCTGGCACCTCCGCTCCTGAGACCAGCACCAGGACACGCAGTACTCAGCCAGCAGAGAAACTCCTTAAACAGACACGCAGCTCACCTGCACCCAGATGCAACCTGATGGAGAGAGTGTCAAGGTGAGAGATAATTAACTGACATTTCCTCCAAAAAGATAAAAGTTAATGTCAGGCCTCTGAGCCCAAGCTAAGCCATCATATCCCCTGTGACCTGCACGTACACATCCAGATGGCCAGTTCCTGCCTTAACTGATGACATTCCACCACAAAAGAAGTGAAAATGGTCTGTTCCTGCCTTAACTGATGACGTTCCACCACAAAAGAAGTGAAAATGGCCTGTTCCTGGCTTAATTGATGACATTATCTTTTGAAATTCCTTCTCCAGGCTCATCCTGGCTCAAAAGCTCCCCTACTGAGCACCTTGTGACCCCCACTCCTGCCCGCCAGAGAACAACCCCACTTTGACTGTAATTTTCCTTCACCTACCCAAATCTTATAAAACGGCCCCACCCCTATCTCCCTTTGCTGACTCTCTTTTCGGACTCAGCGCGCCTGCACCCAGGTGAAATAAACAGCCTTGTTGCTCGCACAAAGCCTGTTTGGTAGTCTCTTCACACCGACACACATGAAATTTGGTGCTGTGACTCAGATTGGGGGACATCCCTTGGGAGATCAATCCCCTGTCCTCTTGCTCTTTGCTCCATGAAGAAGATCCACCTATGACCACGGGTCCTCAGACCCACCAGCCCAAGGAACATCTCACCAATTTTAAATCAGGTAAGCGGCCTCTTCTTACTCTCTTCTCCATCCTCTCTCACTATCCCTTAACCACGTTCTCCTTTCAATCTTGGTGCCACCCTTCAATCTCTCCCTTCTCTTAATTTCAATTCCTTTCATTTTCTGGTAGAGACAAAGGAGACACGTTTTATCCATGGGCCCAAAACTCTGGTGCCGGTCACGGGCTTGGGAAGGCAGCCTTCCCTTGGTGTTTAATCATTGCAGGGATGCCTCTCTGATTATTCACCCATGTTTCAGAGGTGTCTGACCACGCAGGGATGCCTGCCTTGGTCCTTCACCCTTAGCAGCAAGTACCACTTTTCTGGGGGGCAAGAACCCCCCAACTCCTTCTCTCCCTGTCTCTAACCCTTCTCCACTTTTCTGAGGGCAAGAACCCCCCAACCCTTTCTCCTTCACCCTTAGCGGCAAGTACCGCTTTTCTAGGGGGCAAGAACCCCCCAACCCCTTCTCTCCATGTCTCTACCCCTTCTCTGCTTTTCTGGGGGCAAGAACCCCCAATCCCTTATTTCTGTACCCCAACCTCTTATCTCTATGCCCCAATCCCTTGTTTCCATGCCCCAACCTCTTATCTCTGCACCCCATCCCTTATTTCCACACCCCAATCTCTTATCTCTGTGCCCCAATCCCTTATTTCTGCACCCCGACCTCTTATCTCTGTACCCCATCCCTTATTTCTGTGCCCCGACCTCTTATCTCTGTGCCCTGATCCCTTATTTCCATGCCCCGATCCTTTTCCCGCTTTTCTGGAAAGTAAGAACCCCCAAACCCCTTCCCTCTGTGTCTCTACTCTCTCTTTTCTCTGGGCTTGCCTCCTTCACTATGGGCAACCTTCCACCCTCCATTCCCCCTTCTTCTCCCTTAGCCTGTGTTCTTAAAAACCTAAAACCTCTTCAACTCACACCTGACCTAAAACCTAAATGCCTTATTTTATTCTGCAATGCCACTTGACCCCAATACAAACTCGACAGTGGTTCCAAATAGCCAGAAAATGGCACTTTCAATTTTTCCATCCTACAAGATCTAAATAATTCTTGTCGTAAAATGGGCAAATGGTCTGAGGTGCCTGACGTCCAGGCATTCTTTTACACATCGGTCCCCCCCAGTCTCTGTTCCCAATGCAACTCGTCCCAAATCTTCCTTCCCTCCCAACTGTCCCCTCAGTCCCAACCCCAAGTGTTGCTGAGTCTTTCTAATCTTCCTTTTCTACAGACCCATCTGACCTCCCCGCTCCTCGCCAGGCCAAGCTAGGTCCCAATTCTTCCTCAGCCTCTGCTCCTCCACCCCATAATCCTTTTATCACCTCCCCTCCTCACACCCAGTCCAGCTTACAGTTTTGTTCCGTGACTGGCCCTTCCCCACCTGCCCAGCAATTTCCTCTTAAAAAGGTGGCTGGAGCTAAAGGCATTGTCAAGGTTAATGTTCCTTTTTCCTTATCCCAAATCAGAAGCGTTTAGGCTCTTTTTCATCAAATATAAAAACCCAGCCCAGTTCATGGCTCGTTTGGCAGCAACCCTGAGACACTTTACAGCCCTAGACCCTGAAGGGCCAGGAAGCCGTCTTATTCTCAATATGCATTTTATTACCCAATCCGCTCCCAACAGTAAATAAAACTCCAAAAATTAAATTCCAGCCCTCAAACCCCACAACAGGACTTAATTAACCTCGCCTTCAAGGTGTATAATAATAGAGTAGAGGCAGCCAAGTAGCAACATATTTCTCAGTTGCAATTCCTTGCCTCCACTGTGAGACAAACCCCGGCCACATCTCTGGCATACAAGAACTTCCAAACGCCTAAACCGCAGTGGCCAGGTGTTCCTTCAGGCCCACCTCCCCCAGGAGCTTGCTACAAGTGCCAGAAATCTGGCCACCAGGTCAAGGAATGCCCACAACCCGGGATTCCTCCTAAGCCGTGTCCCACCTGTGCAGGACCCCACTGAAAATCGGACTGTTCAACTCACCTGGCAACCACTCCCAGAGCCCCTGGAACTCTGGCCCAAGGCTCTTTGACTGACTCCTTCCCAAATCTTCTTGGCTTTGCAGCTGAAGACTGACACTGCCGGATCTCCTCGGAAGCCTACAGGACCATCACAGACATTCTGAGTAACTCTCACAGTGGAAGGTAAGTCCGTCCCCTTCTTAATCAATACAGAGGCTACTCACTCCACATTACCTTCTTTTCAAGGGCCTGTTTCCCTTGCCTCCATAACTGTTGTGGGTATTGACGGCCAAGGTTCTAAACCTCTTAAAACTCCCCAACTCTGGTGCCAACTTAGACAATACTCTTTTAAGCACTCCTTTTTAGTTATCCCCACCTGCCCAGTTCCCTTATTAGGCCGAGACACTTTAACTAAATTATCTGCTTCCCTGACTATTCCTGGACTACAGCCACATCTCATTGCCACCCTTCTTCCCAATCCAAAGCCTACTTTGTGTCCTCCTTTTGTATCCCCCTGCCTTAACCCACAAGTATAGGATACCTCTACTCCCTCCTTGGTGACCGATCATGCACCCCTTACCATCTCATTAAAACCTAATCACCCTTACCCCGCTCAATGCCAATATCCCATCCCACAGCATGCTTTAAAAGAATTAAAGCCTGTTATCACTCACCTGTTACAGCATGGCCTTTTAAAGCCTATAAACTCTCCTTACAATTCCCCCATTTTACCTGTCCTAGAACCAAACAAGCCTTACAGGTTAGTTCAGGATCTGCGCCTTATCAACGAAATTGTTTTGCCTATCCACCCAGTGGTGTCAAACCCATATACTCTCCTATCCTCAATACCTCCCTCCAGAATCCATTATTCTGTTCTAGATCTCAAACATGCTTTCTTTACTATTCCTTTGCACCCTTCATCCCAGCCTCTCTTCGCTTTCACTTGGACTGACCCTGACACCCATCAGGCTCAGCAAATTACCTGGACTGTACTGCCGCCAAGCTTCACAGACAGCCTCCATTACTTCAGTCAAGCCCAAATTTCTTTCTCATCTGTTACCTATCTCAGCGTAATTCTCATAAAAACACATGTGCTCTCCCTGCTGATCATGTCCAGCTGATCTCTCAAACCCCAACGCCATCTACAAAACAACTCCTTTCCTTCCTAGGCATGGTTAGATACTTTTGACTTTAGATAACTGGTTTTGCCATCCTAACAAAACCGTTATATAAACTCACAAAAAGAAAGCTAGCTGACCCCATACATCATAAATCCTTTCCCCAATCATCTGTTCCTTGAAGACAGCTTTAGAGGCTGCCCCCACCCTAGCTCTCCCTGACTCATCCCGACCCTTTTCGTTACCCACAGCTGAAGTGCAGGGCTGTGCAGTCAGAATTCTTACACAAGGACCAGGATCGCGTCCTGTAGCCTTTTTGTCCAAACAACTTGACCTTACTGTTTCAGGCTAGCCATCACATCTCCGTGCAGTGGCTGCTGCCGCCCTAATACTTTAGAGGCCTTTAAAATCACAAACTATGCTCAACTCACCCTCTACAGTTCTCATAACTTCCAAAGTCTATTTTCTTCCTCACACCTGACACATATACTTTCTGCTCCCCGGCTCCTTCAGCTGTACTCACTCTTTGTTAAGTCTCCCACAATTACCATTATTCCTGGCCGGGACTTCAATCCGGCCTCCCACATTATTCCTGATACCACACCTGACCCCCATGACTGTATCTCTCTGATCCACCTGACATTCATCCCATTTCCCCATATTTCCTCCTTTCCTGTTCCTCACCCTGATCACACTTGGTTTATTGATGGCAGTTCCACCAGGCCTAATGGCCACACAGCAGCAAAGGCAGGCTATGCTATAGTACAAGCCACTAGCCCACCTCTTAGAACCTCTCATTTCCTTTCCATTGTGGAAATCTATCCTCAAGGAAATAACTTCTCAGTGTTCCATCTGCTATTCTACTACTTCTCAGGGATTATTCAGGCCCCCTCCCTTCCCTACACATCAAGCTCAGAGATTTGCCCCCAACCAGAACTGGCAAATTGGCTTTATTCAACATGCCCTGAGTCAGAAAACAAAAATACCTCTTAGTCTAAGTAGATATTTTCACTGGATAAGTAAAGGCCTTTCCTACAGGGTCTGAGAAGGCCACCACAGTCATTTCTTCCCTTCTGTCAGACATAATTCCTCTGTTTAGCCTTCCCACCTCTATACAGTCTGATAATGGACCAGCCTTTATTAGTCAAATCAGCCAAGCAGTTTTTCAGGCTCTTGGTATTCAGTGAAGCCTTTATATATCCCTTACAGTCCTCAGTGTTCAGGAAAAGTAGAACGGACTAAAGGTCTTTTAAAAACACACCTCACCAAGCTCAGCCACCAACTTAAAAAGGAATGGACAATACTTTTACCACTTTCCCTTCTCAGAATTCAGGCCTGTCCTCAGAATGCTACAGGGTACAGCCCATTTGAGCTCCTGTATGGACGCTCCTTTTTTTATTAAGACCCAATCTCATTCCAGACACCAGACCAACTTGGACTGTGCCCCAAAAAAACTTGTCATCCCTACTATCTTCTGTCTAGTCATACTCCTATTCACCATTCTCAACTACTCATACATGCCCTGCTTTTGTTTACACTGCCAGTTTACACTGTTTCTCCAAGCCATCACAGCTGATATCTCCTGGTGCTATCCCCAAACTGCCACTCTTAACTCTTGAAGTAAATAAATAATCTTTGCTGACAGGACTATGCTGAATCTCCTTAGGCACTCTCTAATTAGATGTCCTAGGTCCTCCCAATTCTTAGACCTTTAATACCTGTTTTTCTCCTTCTCTTATTCTGTTTAGTTTTTCAATTCATACAAAACCGTATCCAGGCCATCACCAATGATTCTAAATGACAAATATTTCTTCTAACAGTCCCACAATATCACCCCTTACCACAAAATCTTCCTTCAGCTTAATCTCTCCCACTCTAGGTTCCCACACCGCCCCTAATCCCAGTCGAAGTGGCCCTGAGAAACATCGCCCATTATCTCTCCATACCATCTCCCAAAATTTTTGCCATCCCAACACTTTACCACTATTTTGTTTTATTTTTCTTATTAATATAAGAAGACAGGAATGTCAGGCCTCTGAGCCCAAGCTAAGCCATCATGTCCCCTGTGACCTGCATGTACACATCCAGATGGCCTGTTCCTGCCTTAACTGATGACATTCCACCATAAAAGAAGTGAAAATGGCCTGTTCCTGCCTTAACTGATGACATTATCTTGTGAAATTCCTTCTCCTGGCTCATCCTGGCTCAAAAGCTCCCCTACTGAGCACTTTGTGACCCCCACTCCTGCCCGTCAGAGAACAACCCCCCTTTGACTGTAATTTTCCTTTACCTACCCAAATCTTATAAAATGGCCCCACCCGTATCTCCCTTCACTGACTTTTCGGACTCAGCCTGCCTGCACCCAGGTGAAATAAACAGCCTTGTTGCTCACACAAAGCCTGTTTGGTGGTCTCTTCACACGGACGCGCATGAAAGTTAAGGCCAGAAATGAAATAAGTGCCCTGTGATTGCAAGATCACAGGTTTTCCTCATAGAAAAGGAGAGTCTAGTTTTGTTAAGTTTAGATGTAGAGGTTTAAGAAATCCATTTTCATAAACTGAAAAACTGAGTTTTATAAACTGTTCTACTTCTGAAACATTATATCCAATGGGTGCATAGAGAGATAGATACATACATACATACATATATAGATACATAGATACATGATAGAGATACATAGATAGATAACATAAACACACACACACATATTTGTTAATATTTTTAAACAAAATATGAGAACACACTAAGCATACTATTCTACAAATTGCTTCTTTCAATTCATCAAGCATCATGAGCTCTTTGACCAGTTATTTACCTAGTATTTCATCATCTGAATTATATATATCATTGATTTGAAGATAATTGCCCTGCCTGCTGAGTCTCCTCTTCCAAGCAAACATCTCCAACTCCTTCTATGGCACACACCTAGACTCCTGTTGGCTTTACTCTGGAAAGTTCCAGCTTGTCACTGTCCCTCTTAAAGTGTATTGGCAGGGGATGTATCAGCTTCAGCCATGGGAAGTGAGCACAGGCAGTTGAGAGGGTGATTTTCCATGGTGTAGCACTCAGCGAAAGGCACTGGCAAGATGTGGCCCTCAACTCAACCTTCTGAAGTGCCACTTGAAAGTCTCGTGGCACTGACAATAATTCAAAGGCACTGTCTTTTGACCATGCATTCTGATCAACCCCACCCAAGACTGGCCTTCTAATCCAGACTTAACTCTTTCTCAACCAAAATAAAACTTCTGGCTCTAGATGCTCATCTGTAGTCTGACTCCCAGAATTCTTCCAGTGCAGCTTGTAACAAGGTTCCACCTCAGGTGGTAGCGTCCCTTCTCAAGAAAAAGGAAAAGAAGCCCATTGGTAAGGATGGGACTTATGTAATGTTTGTAGTGCCAAGAAAAGGGGTGTTTTCAATCCCAGCTTGACTCCTTTCCATTCCCACCCTGGCTTCATGGGACATCAGAAAAAGGCCTCGAATGCACATTTGTGTCCAAGCCAGCCTGTAAGTCCAAGCTCCGTTCATACAAAGAACCTCTCTCCCTAAAGTGACCTCCCCTTGGCCATCCCTCTGACCTCAGAGTGCACAGCCTGACCTCTCAGGCCCTGAAAACAGGTGGGGTCCATTTGGGCAAATAATTCCTGAATCCTGACAGCCAGGTTGTGGTCTAGAAGAGAGGGTGGACGTGCTAGGTGGGCAGGGGCTCAGCTGGAGGAGGGGGATCTCCAGCACCAAGCCCAGGTCAGAGACCTGGCTCTCCTGCTGTAAGAGAGTCCTGCACAGCATGGCCTATGGCAGCTGGGCACCTGCAATGAGAATGGCTCCCGGGAGCAGTGACTCTTCGGTGGAAGGACGGGCAGAAACTTGCTCATTTTAGGCAGGAGAGAATATTATGAGCAAAGGAATGATGGTAAAAGAGAAGTGAGGGAATGTTAGGTGCTGCCAGTAATTCTGTACAAAGCACAAGGATGAATGTAACTGGTGGGGATGAGGGAAGGGGAGAGAGAGCAATGGGCAGGAGTGTGAAGGGCAAAGGCCATACCAGGCCAGAGAGGCTGGGCTTGGATTCTTGGAAAGCAATGGGGAACTACACATAATTTATGCCGGGGGAGAGTGTGATTGGATTTGTATTCTAAAGAGGCAGCACTCTGCCATCAGGGGAAGTGATGGAATAGAAAACCAATGAGAACAAAGGATAATGGCTGGGAAGATCTAGCCTGTGGAAAGTAGATGCTGTAGGGGACAGGAGGAGAAATCAGGGGTCTCAGAGCAGGCAAGAGGCAGCCTGGGGAGGACATGCCACAGAGATTATTTCAGACCTCAGTTGCATAGGAGGAAACTGCAAAGTTACTTAACCTCCCTGAGCCTCAGTTTCTCTGCTCTTTAAAATAGCATAGAAACTTACTGAGAGAATTTAAATGAGTGCTAATATGAATATAAATTGCCCAGACAGGCCTGAATCATAGGAAATGCTCAGAAAAGGAAAGCTCCCCATAGATTTTTTGGGGAGTTTGCACAGAGAGCAAATAGAATGCAGCAAAGAAAGCCTGGAAAGAAAAGTACCAGTTATTTCATAATCTTGCCAAGATCCTTTGAGCAAAAAGGGAACCAAAGAAGGAAATAGAAAAACAGGTTGGAGTGTTTTTGTTTGTTTTTGTTTTGTTTTTTTTTTTTTGGACAAGCCTTGCGGGGCACTGGGGGGGCTTCTTTGACAAGTACCCTAAAACCTGATGGCAACAAAATGGGAGCAGTTGTAATTCATTAAGAGCACACTGTTGCGAGGCTTGGGAGAACCACCCAACCTCCAGTGGCCGGCCCACCCACCCCCATCAAGAGGCACACTTTCAGGACACTGAAGTACACCACATTCTTGGAGTTTCTCCAGACTAGCTTCTGATGAAGCTGTTCCCCCAGGAATGATCACAGTGAGTCTCAGATTCCTGTGAACAAAGGAGCCAGTAACTCCCCATGACCACAACAAGTAAAACAAAGACAGCTTCAAAGATGGCACCGAGAACTGGGAACAGCAATACAGGCAGGAGTTGGAGAGGATTTCTATTGAAATCCAATGACTGAGCTAAACTATTGATCCATTTTTCTTCTAAGCCTCTACTCACAGAATGCATTCATTTAAAAATAACATTTATAAATATAGGCCAGGTGCGGTGTCTCACGCCTGTAATCCCAGCACATTGGGAGACCAAGGTGGGCAGATCACCTGAGGTCAGGAGCTTGAGACCAGCCTGGCCAACATGGTGAAACCCCATCTCTACTAAAAACACAATGATTAGCCAGATATGGTGGCGCATGCCTGTAATCCCAGCTACTCAGGAGGCTGAGGCAGGAGAATCACTTGAGCCTGGGAGGCGGAAGTTGCAGTGAGCTGAGATTGCACCACTGCACTCCAGCCTGGGCGACAGAGCCAGACTCCATCTGAAAATAAATAAATAAAATTTTTAAAAATAACTTTTATAGATACAGATGCTAGATAGTAAAATCTCATTAAATGAAAACCATTTGACCATGAATCTGTGGCCATTTAATTTGGACTAATTTAAAATTTACTTTTAACCTATGGGAACAGGGCTTCTCCACCAATTTAACCCTGTAATTAGGATGCCAAGAGATTTGGAAAACCACCTCGCACAGGTGCTTCTTCCTTGCCATTTATATCACACTTTTTCTTTTTCACTCGTGGGGTGATATTCAAAGCAAAGTTAACTTAAAGGTATAACCCTCCACTGTCACTCAATCTAGAAATAAAGTCCCTTTCTCTGTTGAGTTTAATGTCTCTTTATTTGCCATGGCAAGAATGGCAAACACATAGCACACACCCTACCCTCCATCTCACCCAAGCCCTCTGCAGGCATGACTAGCTGATCAGAGTAAGGATCCTTCTTAATCCAGTACTTCAAAAGAAGGAAGAGATTCCAAGCATTCCTTCCTCTCAGATAATAAATTTGATGTCCTCCTTCCAAGGAGAAAACATCTATTCTGTGCCCAAGGGCCTAAGAACTGAGGTTACTTACCCAGTGGAAATAGCTTATCCATTTCAGGAAGAACTGACAAAACAGGTGGTAAGATAAGGCTTCCTGTTCCCTCACTCATTTACCAAGAAGGTGGTTAATATTAGCAGAAAAATGGTTTGGCAGACTGAACACTGAATGAAGGTCTCCTTGGACACTTGGCATGTCCCTAGGCTAGAGCAGTGATATGGCTTAGCTCTGTGTCCCCACCCAAATCTCATCTGAAATTGCAATCCCCATATGTCAAGGGAGGGACCTGGTGGGAGGTGATTGGATCACGGGGGGCAGTTTCCCCCATGCTGTTATAGTGATAGTGAGTAAGTTCTCACAAGATCTGATGGTTTAAAAGTGTGGCACTTCCCCTCCACCCCTCTTTCTCTCTCCTGCCATCATGTAAGACCTGTCTTGCTTCCCCTTCACCTTTTACCATGATGATTGTAAGTTTCCTGAGGCCTCCCCAGCCACGCAGAACTGTGAGTCAAAACTCTTTTCTTTGTAAATAACCCAGGCTCAGGTAGTTCTTTATAACAGTGTGAACATGGACTAATATAATCAGTGATCTAAGAAGGGGTAGAGGAGAGCAGAGTAATACAAAATGACAAAGGGAAGTCGGGGAGAAGGATTCCCAGACTGTAACCATAATAGGTCTGTTGCCTGATATGCATGGCAAGTAAATACCATGGCAATACCATGGCCAGACACCAGGTTGCAGCAGAGAAAGAGGTTTAACCGCAGGGCCTCCGAATGAGGAGCTGTGAGTAAACCTCCAATCCATCTCCCCGTGGAGTTTGGGGTTAGGATTTTTAAGTGTTTTGGAGTGGCCGGAAGTGTGGAGATAGGTCCACGAACTGTGATTGGTTGAAGAGTACAGGATGAAGTCACGGGACAGGGAGATGAAGAAGCTCTATTCTCATGCTGATTCCACTCCTCTATGGGGTCTTCAAACTAGTTGGTGTCAGCTATTTCACTGGAATTCTGGATCTCAAAACACATCTTAAGCAATTCTTATGCAAAAGCCTTATGAATGTAAGATCAGAAATCCTATTTATCTAAAACAAGTCTTATGATTCTAGTCTCAGAAATCCTGTCTATAGGAACAACAGGGAAGCAAATGGTCAGTATCTAGTTACAAGCAAGTGGGTCAAATTGCAGCCTGATTCGAGCTTAATTATAAATATATTTCTGTCTGGAATTCTTGTTAACCCTATGAGGATAGCTTCAGGATGGTTATTCAATGAGAGCCAGCCTAGTGTAGGGGTTAAGCACATATCTCTGAGTTCAAATCCTGCCTCTGTTACACTATGTGCCCTTGGGTACATTATGTACCCTCTCTTCACCTTGGTTTCCTCATCTGTAAAATGGAAATAATAATACCTGTGTCATAGTATTGTTGTGAAAATTAAATGTGATCATCTATGAAGAGTTTCTAGCGTATACTACATACTCAAATGTTACTTTTTTTTTTTTTTTTTTTGAGATGGAGTCTCCCTCTGTTGCCCAGGCTAGAGTTCAGTGGCGTGATCTCGGCTCACTGCAAGCTCCGCCTCCCGAGTTCATGCCATTCTCCTGCCTCAGCCTCCTGAGTAGCTGGGACTACAGGCGCCTGCCGCCATGCCCGGCTAATTATTTATTTATTTATTTATTTATTTATTTTGTATTTTTTAGTAGAGACGGGGTTTCACCGTGTTAGCCAGGATGGTCTCGATCTCCTGACCTCGTGATCTGCCCGCCTCGGCCTCCCAAAGTGCTGGGATTACAGGCGTGAGCCACCGCGCCTGGCCGAATGTTACATTATTGTTGTTATAATTCCTGTTATCAGACAGGATGCTGTTGGAGTAGGTAGCACAAAATTCAGATAAAGGCATTGATGATCCTGCATTGAGTCCAGAGGTAGGATGTTCCAGGCACAGCTGGTTAAATCACAGCTATTTTTCATCATTCTGTTCTGAATCTCCAGGTCAGCAATTGTTTCCCCACCAGTAGAGCTGGCTTCACAACTCTAGATGTCATGTAGCCTCTAGCAAAGAAAGGGGAGGAGGCATTTCTAGCAAAGGAGACAGGAGGTGGCTGTTGGGGATGGAGTCAGTAGTGCATGATAACTCAGACTGGATTTATGGAGAAAAGAAAGACATATTGTGTGCACACAGACACACATACAGACTCCACTCATGTATGTTTGGCTAACAGGCCATATCTAGATGCATTCCAGACATCATGGAACATAGTAGAAAGGTCACACCAGGGGACCACCCACCTTGTACTGGGGCATTTCAAATGGTCTTATCTCTACCTAGGCCTCTCCATTGGATATCAAAGCCTTTGGCTGGGTTTAAACAGGTTAATAGGCTTTTGAGTAATTAGTGCTTTGAGGAAGCCGTAGGCTTTGATTCGTCAAATGCTGTGGCCTGTTCACTGTAAGCAGAATTTAATCTGTGAGCTACATCATGTGAAAATAAAGCTGCCTAAAACCAAATACATTCAAATTGTGATGATAGTAATGCAAGCAGGCAGGCTTTTCTTGCATGGCTTGTGAAGTGGTTCTGAAGCAGAGGAGTTCCAGAAATCTTTTAAGCAACAGTGGTTTGAAGAAGATGACATCCATTTGGAGAGATGTACTGATATATGAAATCCCCCAGTTTAGGAATAAGACCTAGGTGTAACTCCTGGCTCCCACCTTTGTGTAACCTAGGACATGTTTTTTTCACTTCCCTGAAACTCAGTTTCGTGGTCTTTAAAATGAACACGATAATACCTACTTTGGAGATTTAACAGGAGAGTAAGTTAGGTGAAAAGTTAAACTGCCTGGCCTAGTAGCTGGCACTGGGAAAGTGTTCATGTAGTGGATTCAACAGTGACCCCTGAAAGATATGTCCACTGAGAACCTGTGAATATGACCTTATTTGGAAAAAGGGTCTTTGCAGATGTAATTAAGTTGAGGATCTTGAGATGAGATTATCCTGGGTTGTCCCGATGGACCCTAAATTCAATGACAAGTGTTCTTTTAAGAGAAAGGCAAGGAAAGATGCATAAAGAAATGTTGACCTGTTTTTTCTCTACTAGTGTGGATAATTTGTTATTCTTTGAGCTCATCTGTGTTTTCCAATTTTCTACAATAAACTTGGTTTACTCGTGGAAAACACACACACACAAAAGAGGAGGCCATGTGACCCCAGAGGCAGTGAACGTTATATCCCTACTGTCTCCAGCAATAAGCACAGCACACGTTAGGCATTCATTTATTTCTTTTGTTTTTTTCTTTGTTTTGGTTTTTTAGTTGATTGGCAAAGCCAGTAACTGGTTCCAAGAACGAGTTAATATGATACTGCATGAGTCAGGACAGGCTTCCAAGCCACCTCCGTGTTTCAGTGACTTAAAATAACAAAGGACTATTTCTCACTAATGCTACCTGCCCAAGCAGGGTTGGGGATGAGGAGAGTTGGCTCCACGTCATCCTCACTCTGAGACCCAAAGGACAGGGGCTATACCTTCCCATTATTTTGGCTTCTCCCATAAGCCTGTTGGGTATGCAGAAAAGTGGGGGCTAAGGGACCCAGCATCAGCATTTAATGCTATGCCTGTCAAGTTACTTCTGCTGCATACAATGACCGGAACCACTGACATGGGAAATTCCAAGGCTCGATGAACCAGAATTAGAGGAGAGCTAGATATTGGGGAATATTAGAAATTCTACCACAGATATGGGTGCAATGGTCTCTTTGTGTCCACATTACAAACATCACAGAGAATCCAGTATGAATTGAAGAAGAATGAAATGATCACAGGCCTGGGAGCCTTCTATCTGGTTGTTACAACCTAAATGTTGGTCCTGACCCATCCAACTCCACAATGTGGCTGCTATGGATTATAAGAAAGCACTATACATTATTGTCATTTTGTTTTTCTTTTTCTAGACAACCACTCCCCCCAACCACCAAGATTCATGGGAATTCAGGCCCCAAGAGCCCATTAACCTTAGAGGCTCCACAGGGTCCAGTCTAAAGAGCCCAGATCAATGAGATCAAGCAAACAGTTTCTCAGAAGTCTATAACAAAAAGCAGACAGCTGGCAGCCAGCGTGAGACACCAAGATTTGTCTTTGTGGACGGCTGGCAGGGGCCTGGGGGAGATGTCATTTTTTAACAGGCCTCAGAATAAAATGGATTTTTTACCTGCTGAAGGAGCTACCAGTTAGCAGACATTGCTCTTCCAGGAAAACAAATACACAGCTGGGATACTCATTTTTCTTCCATTATTAAATATTGTTGGCTTGGTTTTAAAAGATTTCAAATACGGCGGCTCTTTAAAATTCCCTGCCTGCCTCCCTTTCTTCCTCCCCTTCTTGTCTCCCTGCCCTTTGATGGAGTTTCAGCGCCCACATGCATGGCAACAACCGCTATTTCATCTTAAATTTCTATAGCAGAAAATGTAGGTCACTGATCTTAGAAGTGGCCTAGTTTCCTGGCTCTAAATAGAAATCTTTCCCCAGGTTGCGGCTTTTTTCTAGGTTAATGTCTAATAAAAGTATAACCTACTTAGCCAGGCCAAACAAACTGAGTTCTGACCTCCCGTCCACCCAGCTGCTGAATGGTTTTGCAGCTTTAGGATCGTCCAAGGCCACAGCTATCCTCAAAAAGCAGCTTGAGGGCCAGAACATGCCTCTGAGGTCACAGGTGGCAGAGCCTAAGAAGGAGAATGTGGCAGCTCTCACTCCACCTGGCAAAGCAAAGGTCCCGGGGGAACTAAGATGTGTTAGTTGCTCACCCACGCTGAGCACTTCTGTACATCTTCACATTTCATTTTGTCCGGGTTAGCTCAAGGTCGTTCTCCTTCCCCCTGCCTTTCCTTCCTCCCTTCCTTCCCCCTTCTTTCCTCCCTTTCCTTCCTTCCTTCCTTGCCTTTCTTATTTCCTTCCTTCCTTTTCTTTCTTCCTCCCTCTCTTCCTCCCTCCCTTTCCTCCTGCCCTTCCTTCCTTTTTCCCTCCATCCCTCCTTCCTTCCTTCTTCCCCTTCCTTCCTTTCTTCTTTCTTTCCTTCTTTTCTTTCTTCCTTCTTTTCTTTCTTTCTTCCTTTCTTTCTTCATTCTTTCCTTCCTTCCTCCCATCCTTCCTCCCTTCCTTCCTTCCTTTCTTTCTTTCTTCCTTTCTTTCTTCATTCTTTCCTTCCTTCCTCCCTTCATTCCTTCCTTTCTCTTTCTCTCTTTCTTCTTTCTTCTATTTTTAATGCACAAGTAAACCAAGTTTATTGTAGAAAATTGGAAAACACAGATGAGCTCAAAGAATAACAAATTATCCACACTACTAGAGAAAAAACAGGTCAACATTTCTTTATGCATCTTTCCAGGTATTTGGCTATATGTATATACTGACAATGACTTATGTTGAACAAAGTTTGGATCATAATAGTCTGTGGTCTAGTTTGCTCCCTTAACCTATACTGTCACGCTTTTTTCTGGTCAATTTATGTATATGTGTGTGCATATGTAACCTTGAGAATTTTTTTTAAGAATTTTTAATTTAATTTTTTTCTTCAACTTTTATTTTAAATTCCTGGGTACATGTGTAGGATATGCAAGTTTGTTACGTAGGTAAACATGTGCTATTGTGGTTTGCTGCACAGATCAACCCATCATCTAGGTATTAAGCCCAGCATGCATTAGCTATTCTTCCTGATGCTCTAACTTCTGCCAACCCCACCCCCAACAGGCCACAGTGTGTGTTGTTCCCCCCGCCATGCACTCATGTGTTCTCATCGTTCAGCTCCACTTATAAGTGAGAACATGTGGTATTTGGTTTTCTGTTCCTGTGTTAGTTTGCTGAGGATGACAGCTTCCAGCTCCATCCTTGTCCCTGAAAAGGACATGATCTTGTTCTTTTTTATGGCTGCATAGTATTCCATGGTATATATGTGCCACATTTTCTTTATCCAGTCTATCGCTGATGGGCATTTGGTTTGATTCTATATCTTTGCTACTATGAATACCACTGCAAAGATATGCATGCATTTATCTTTGTAATAGAATGATTTATATTCCTTTGGATATGTAGCCAGTAATGGGATTGCTGGGTCAAATGGTACTTCTGCTTCTAGATCTTTGAGGAATTGCCACACTGTCTTCCACAATGGTTGGACTGATTTACATTACCTTGGGATGTTTTTCTAAAATAACAAAATTATATAAAATAAATTGTAACCTGAAAGAGATAGCTCATCATTTTTTAAAGATTGTTTCATTTAGGGTTTTATAAAACAGCCAGGCAGGCAGCTAGTGGAACTTAGCCTGGGTGAGTGCCAGGTACATGGTGTTTTTTATAGTAAACATGAGGTCAGCCTCCTCAGCAGGGAGCACTGCAGGAGAAACTGGCTCTCCTGCTGTTTCCAGTACCAGCTGGAGGTGGTGTGAGGGCATCTGGTGAACTTGTGTCCTTGCCTCTCCCCACTCTTCCACCCACCTGAAGTCCCTCTGTGACTCTGCAGCCTTGCTGGATGGACGATCACTTTTCTGCAGCCCCCTTAACATGGAAACCAAAGCCCATGCGTGGGTCACATGTTCCAAAAGTTCCAGCCCACTAGTGCCTGGTCTCTGTGTGCACACCCAGCCACTGCTGCTCCCTTCTCTGCACTTCAGACGGAGGCCCGTTTCTTATCCAGCAACTCCAGACCAAACAAGAAGACTCCATTGCTTCCCACTCCTTCACCTCTGAAGTCCTAACCCCTAGCAAGTTTTTCCTTCCTCGGGTAGGCGCCCTTAGTCACAGGGAGCCGTGACAAATTTGCTTATAAGTTACTCCTTTGTCATAACCATTCTTTATATTAGACTTTCTCTCTTTGATCTGCTGTGTAGTTTCTGTCTCCTGATTGGACCTGGACTGCCACAGTCAGGCTCCTGACTCAGCTCTCTAACATTAGAGTTGCATGTGGCAAGCCACACGGCCCAAATTGGGCCCATTTATACCAAATGGTGGTGGACCCAGACTTCATCTGCCCCAGCAAAATCTTACCTCCCACTCACAGTGCTCTGAAGGACACCCTGTAGGCCCCTCCTGGGCCAGCTCCTGGGTCACTGTGCAGCCCAGGGCCCCTCCTCCTGCACTTGCTCTCCAACTGCAGACTCAGCCTACCACAAAAACAGGTTCCTTGGCCCCTGACCTTTACATCTTGCTCAAAAGTGCTCATACTGGCTGGGCGCAGTGGCTCACACCTATAATCCCAGCACTTTAGGAGGCCAAGGCAGGCAGATCACTTGAGGTTAGGAGTTTGAGACCAGCCTGGCCAACATAGCAAAACCCCATCTCTATTAAAAATACGAAAAATGAGGCTGCGGCAGGAGAATCACTTGAACCTGGGAGGTGGAGGTTGCAGTGAGCCGAGATCACGCCACTGCACTCCAGCCTGGGCAACAGAGCAAGACCCCTTAAAAAAAAAAAAGGACTCACACCATCATCTCACCTCCTTCCATGACTTCTTGAACTTTAGTGGCTCAGCCCTAGTCATCACTCCCGAAACAGCCTCCTGGATATCTCTGAATTTGACCCAAACTACAGCTGTGCAAGGAAAAGCAGGAGCTCTTCTCCTCCATTTAACATATGAGGAAACTGAGGTTCCAAGTTTCAATGCTGATTCACATGGAGAACAAATGGCATTTCCCAGAAGTGAATCTTCTGATGTCTAGCCCAGGGTACTGCTAACACATCACTGAATTTCTCTCTCTTATTGGGTGAGAAAAGCTTGTTTCTACACAGCTATAGGTGATCTAAAGTCACCTGGAGGGTTTGAACCTCAGTCTAAACAGGGCCTCCACATTTGGCTGCACAGGTTAAGCCCTGTTCAGCTGAGAGCTTCTGTAGGAGCTGAAATTCAGCCTGTGCCCTTCATGGTAAGCCACACACTGAACATAGGGCTGAATCAGCCCAGGGAAATGCATCATCTTGGCACTTGACCACCCATAAGAGGCATTTTTATGAAGTTTCCACAACCACATGGAACTATACTAGCAGCTGAGGTAGCCCAGGTTCAACGCCATTTGAGGGTATCCCTAGCTTTGGCTTTGGGCAGTGTAGACTCAACATTCTATGGGACTCCTGGGCAAGGTACCTGATGGGTGGGTGGCAAAACAGAGGGAAAAGAAGAGAAGTCCTTGCTATCAACCTAAGTCATTTGTTCCTACAAACATCCCTGATTCATGCTACATTCTGTCTGTCTCTCAGACATCTGTCCTTCCAAGTGCTCATGGATACACCCCTCTTGCTGGTATCTAATGCTGTTGGCCCTGCAACTTTCTGTACTCCTTTCAAGCCAAGTTTGGGAGCACTGGAATCCCTCTGGTCCTCCCTGTGCCAGTGGAGCATGGACATCTCCCTAAAGCTGCATATCTTCATGGGCTCTGTGCAACCATTCCCCCTCCAACCTCTCTGGCTGTTATAGTTTGGACTTGTGTCCTCACCCAAATCTCATGTTGAATTTTAATCCCCAATGTTGGAGGTGGGACGTGATGGGAGGTGATTAGATCACAGGGATGGTTTCTTATGAATGGGTGATATGGTTTGGCTGTGTCCCCAACCAAATCTCATCTTGAATTTCCATGTGTTGTGGGAGGGACCAGTGGGAGGTAATTGAATCATGGGGGTGGATCTTTCCCATGCTGTTCTCATGACAGTGAATAAGTCTCACGAGATCTGATGGTTTTAAAAAGAGGAGTTCCCCTACACAAACTCTCTCTCTCTCTTTGCATGCTGCCATCCATGTAAGAAGTGACTTGCTCCTCCTTGCCTTCTGTCATGATTGTTAGACCTCCCCAGCCACATGGAACTGTAAGTCCATTAAACCTCTCTTTCTTTTGTAAATTGCCCAGTATGTCTTTATCAGCAGAGTGAAAATGAACTAATACATTAAGTTAGTACCAGTAAAGAGTGGCATTGAAGAAAAGATACCCGAAAATGTGTAAGTGACTTTGGAACTGAGTAACAGGCAGAAGTTTGGAACACTTTGGAAGGCTCAGAAGAAGAAAGGAAAACGTGGGAAAATTTGGAGCTTCCTAGAGACTTGTTGGATGGCTTTGACAAAAATGCTGATAGTGATATGGACAATAAGGTCCAGGCTGTGGTGGTCTCAGATGGAAATAAGGAACTTGTTGGGAGCTAAAGCAAAGGTGACTTCTGTTATGTTTTAGCGAAGAGACTGGTGGCATTTTGCCCCTGCCCTAGAGATTTGTGAAACTTTGAACTTGAGAAAAATGATTTAGGGTGTCTGGCCAAAGAAATTTCTAAGCAGGTGCTTCCATGCTTCTTGTACAGCCCATGGAACAATGAGCCAATTAAACCTCTTTTCTTTATACATCACCCAGTCTCAGGTTATTTCTTTATAGCAATGCGAGAACTGGCTAACATACTGCTTCCTCAGCAGGAAGAAGGGCACAGGAGCAGGATCCCTAGACAA
The DNA here is from genome assembly GCF_000001405.40 of Homo sapiens. Lineage (NCBI taxonomy): Eukaryota > Metazoa > Chordata > Mammalia > Primates > Hominidae > Homo > Homo sapiens. Next base: position 92,530,450 of record NC_000015.10, read on the forward strand.
TCTGGATTTCCCTTCATCTCTCCTTCCTTCCCTGAGCCCAACCACATATTCTCTAGACTAGGTAGGATAAGCCTTACTCTTTCTTATCTTCCTCCAAAACGCTTTGTTCACTAGCAGGCTTTCACTATGGGCTTCAGCTTTGGGAGGCTAAAATCCAGGGAGTTCCTCTTTATCTGGCTTTAAACCCTGTCCACACCCCTGGGGCAAAAGACCCAGAAAGGTCTGGCCACCTCAGTGGTGGAAAGAGTTAAGAAGAGATACAAGGAGGGTAAAAAACATAAAGCTTGGGAGTTCAGAAATATTATCACACTGCACAGTTTTACTGAAGTAACCATACCACAGAACGGAAAGTCTGTCTCTCCTGATGTGGTAGCAGCACAACCTGAAGGCTCTTGCCTCCAGTGCCTCCAGTGACAATCAAGTACTGACCATCCCCACATCATGACTGAGTTGCTGGTTATCATGGTCAGTTCAAAACCTCATTCGGAATGATGTGAAGAGTACTGGTCAGTCTGTGTGAAGTGAGCAGATTAAGATATCCCCCTGTTATCTGAGACCTTCTGAAAAGCCCTTCATATAGTCAATAAATTTTTCCTAAGCCTCAGAAATGAGATGACTCCATGCTCAAAGAGAGACTAAGGAATTGTTTGAGAATCCAAGCAGAAACACCAGGACAATGTGTTGGGAACTCAGACACGGAGCCAAAGAAGAGACTGAAAACTTTGCTGCTTGGAAGTCCTGTAAAAGTCCTGTATCCTTTTCCCAGTCACATCCCCAGTTTACCTGCTGTGCCCACCACCACCAGAAAGAAGAAAACTAAGTCTAGCTGATACCACATCTAATGGAAGCATCAACCAGGTTGCCCTAAAATCGCTCCCTGAACGACAAAAATCAAATGTTGTGGGATGATGGAGGTTTCAGAGATAGCTCCAAATGCAAAACTTCCCAGTGGAAAGTGCTCTGGACAGGTCAAAGGCAAATTCACTACCATAAAGTCCAGGAGACCCCAAATCTCTGAGGCTAACACTGAAGGTACTCCATGAAAAACTCTCCCCACAGTGCCTGCACCAGGGAAACATCAGCCTCACCTCTCTGCTCCCCTGTCCTGCCAAACTTCAGTCTCTGCTCCCAAGAAAACTCCCAGCACCCCGATCAGGGAAGAGTGGAACACTTGTGCCTACTCTTCTGAAGGGACTGAAGTGAAACCCAGCTGGGTCATGCCAACCCTTTAAGGATTCAGAAATAGCAACTCTTAGCAGTAGTCCAGCCTGTCCAGTCTGTAGCAGTGATTCTAACACACATCCTCCATTCTCACTGGCAGACAAGCCTTAGAGGATCAGAGGGACTGGGGAGTGTGCACTCTAACTTCTCCTGCACCATGTTGACCTCTGGCCACAAGTTAACTCAGGAGGAGACAAAGGACGCAGGCTGATCAGTCTGCAGAAATCCAAAGGACACTATTCAGAATCTTCAGAGTTTAGAATCCTTTACCACCAAACACCAACAGAGGAAAGAAGCTTCAGAAATGCTTAGACCCACTCGCCTTCCCTAATCTCTTGCTGAGCCTAGCGGTTTCCACCAGGAATTACAGGACATATTGCTTTGCGTGGTACGAGGGAGTTGTTTCAACAGGACTTTTCTTTTTAGGAATTTCAGGGCTGACATTCTAGCCAGTAGATTTAACATCAGCTTCACCCGCTATTAAGTCAGTTTCTTTAACCTGTTCTGAGCGATTGATTTCTTCACCTAAAAAGAGAATGGCCACATGGTAGCAGAAACTCATTTTCCACTTGTTTTGGCCCCAGTTTTGGCCCATATTACTAAAGTAGAGCCCAGACTCTGCATGCATTTTGCTGTGTCCACCCACAGCTTTCCAGAAGGCTCTCACTTCACCAAACATATGTCTACTTCTGGTTTGAAAGCAGGGGTGCCTCTTGGAGCTGCTGCAGAAGCCTCACAAGCTCCTCAGCTTGGCCTCCAAAGGACTCCAGGAAATACGTCCCATGCTTTGTGCAGTATTTGCGGTCATCCTTAGTGGGGAAACAAGATGTGGAGCTGTGGAGGAGTTATTAGTGTTTCTCGAGCTTGAATAATATATGTGTCCCCTTTGAAATGCATTTTTTTTCTTTTGGACTCCCCTAGTGTTGACCTATTTTTATTATTGTGTTAGTTGCAATCAAAAACTCAACACTGGCTTGAAAAAAAGAGGGGCAGGATATTCGGGTTCAAACAAATGAGCACCCCTGGGATGTATTAGCTATCAGGACGGTGCAGATAAGTTTTTAGCTCCCTTTTCTGTGACTCAGCACCGTGCTCCCCTTTCCAGCTTGTCCTGTCCCTGCCACACAATGGCTGCTAGGAGCACTAGGGGGCTCTGGGCTTGTTTTTGCTCATATCCATGAGGCAGAACCCTGTTGCCTACCCCTAAACCAGTCACTGAGGGCTGAGCAATGTCTGGAGGTGATCATCTTAGGCCAACACTTACATAACCAATCACTATGGCAAGGAGGAGCAGGGTCCCCCTGCTTGGTCTAGGCATCTAAGCCAATCATAGCCTATCCCTGCAGCTGGAGGTGTGCCATGCCCACCCAACCAAGCAGCTGCTACAGAGTTGGATGGAGAAATATGGATGTTGGAGGACCAACCACCTGTCTATGTAATCACCATGTACTGGACTTTGGTGAGTCTGCACACAGGTGCATTCTTCAGCCTGTCTCTGCTCTGTTCTGTATCACCAGGGTGTTGTGTATGTGTGAATGTGTGTGCATGCACACATGTGTGCAGCAGAGAGGGTCTGATCCCTGCAGGCTGCATTTCCCAGTCTTCACATCGGCTGGCTTCTGCTGGATTAAGCCAATGGAGGCATTATTAAAGAAGTGGAGAGCAGGGGGATGGGAGAAGCTGGAGTATTTCTCCCCATCTCTGCCAGCCTCAGGCAGTTCCTCTGGAGACAGCTACATCTCCTGCAAGGCTCTAGCTCTCCCAGACAGGCCCTTCATTATGACCCCAGCTTCCGGGCTTTGTGTTTGTCCCTCCAGCCTAGGGGTGAGGTGGCTTCCTCCTATTGGCAGTCTCCTGAGTGTCTCGCCATCAGCAATCTCACCACCTGTGTAACCACTTCCTAGTGTTGAATTGCCTTTTTTTTTCCTAAATATTTAGAATGGTTTCTGTTTTTCTGGTGGAACTCTGTTACACTCCTAAATATTACAAACATCAAACCAGGTATAAACTCTGCATGCAAAGGACTCTTACAGAAGCGCAATAAAATTCAAAATAACATTAACTCAACATGATGGACCATACAGACTGCATTATTTGGCTGAAACCAAATTCCCTCTTGAAATGTGCATGAGTCTGTCTATTATAGTGCAGGTTCTTTCTGAGCTCAGCAGGCTTATGCCACCAATGTTATACAACATGACTTGTTCCTTCCACTACTTTTCTCTAGTGAATTTCTGTAAAACTTTTATTCATAGACTATCAACATTGATTGCTGGCTTTCACATGCGAAAAAACATTGTAAAGATGAGCTCTCAAAACTCATAGCCCAACGTAGTTACAAGGTCATCATCCAGATGTTCCAAAATTTGTATCTATAATATTTTACTATTAAACTAAAAACATGACATTTAAAAATGCTCAGTGAGAGAAACATGGATATGGTTTTCACACAGACAGCCATAAGTGGAGAAGATCCCTGGGCCAAATTTCACAGCTCCTGAATTAACATTATTGTGTGCAGACTATGTGCCAGGGACACCCTAATTAATCCTAACGACAATCCTTCAAGGCAGGTATTATAATTTTCATTTTACAGATGAGGAAGCAAGCTCAAAGAAATTAAGTGACTTGCCTAAAGTCTCTAGAAGGAGGCAGAGGCTCACATTCTCAAATCCGTATTATGCCTCTTCATTCACCTCATTTCCTCTTCTTTCCTATGGAGGAAGTTAAGTTGCAAAATCGATTCATTCATTCCATATTTATTCACACTCACTGATATGGTTTGGCTGTGTGCCCACCCAAATCTCATCTTGAATTGTAGTTCCCATAATCCCCACGTCACGGGAGGGACCCCGTGGAAGGTAATTGAATCATGGGGGTGGTTACCCCCATGCTGTTCTCATGAGTGGGTCAGTTCTCATGGGATCTGATGGTTTTATAAGGGCTCCCCCCTCACTCTCCACTTCTCTCTCCTGCTGCCTTGTGAAGAAGGACATGTTTGCTTCCCCTTCCGCCATGATTGTAAGTTTCCTGAGACTTCACCAGCCATGCAGAACTGTGAGTCAATTAAACCTGTTTCCTTCATAAATTACCCAGTCTCAGGTGTTTCTTCATAGGAGTGTGAGAACAGACTAATACACCCACCATGTATCAGGCACTGTTCTAAGCACTAGATAAAACAGTAAGCAAAACAGACAAAAACCTGCCCAGTAAGGTTTACATTCTAGTGAAGCAATTGGAAAATAAACAACACTGATAAGTAAAACATGTGGTACACAGATACTGCCAAGGGTCAGGGAAGCTTGGAATGGGTAGGATGTTGTTGAGGAAGGGCTGGGATTTTAGATAGGGTAGTCAGGGAAGGCTTTTGAGCAAAGACCTGAAGGAAGTGAAGGAACAAGACATACAGACAGCTGGGAGCAGAATGTTTTGGGCAAAGGAGACAGCCAGTGCAAAGGGGAACATGCCTGGAGACCAATGTGGCTGGTGCAGAGAAAACTATGGGGTGCAGCAAGAGACAAATGTATTAGTCTGTTCTCACACTGTTGATAAAGATATACCTGAGACTGGGCAATTTACAAAAGAAAGAGGTTTATCGGACTTACAGTTCCACATGGCTGGGGAGGCTTCACAAATCATGGCAGAAGACAAGGAGGAGCAAGTCACATCTTACATGGATGACAGCAGGCAAGGAGAGAGCTTGTGCAGAGAGACTCCCACTTTTTAAAATCATCAGATCTCATGAGACTTATTCACTATCATGAGAACAGCATGGGAAAGACCCACCACCATGATTCAATCATCTCCCACTGGGTCCCTCCCACAGTACGTGGGAATTATGGGAGTTACTAGATGAGATTTGGGTAGGGACATAGAGCCAAACCGTATCAACAAGTCAGCGGGAGTGGAAAGTCAGACACACAGGGCCTGAAGGTCATGAAAGGACTCTGGCTTTCACTCCAAGCAAGACTCAATGCCACTGGAAGGTTCTGAGCAGGATCACTCTGGCTATGTGGACAAGAGATTGTAAGAGCCAAGGATGGAAGCTGGAAGACCAGTTAGAAGGCCCTTGCAGTAAATCCAGGTAGGAGGGGATAGTGTGAAAGGAAAATATCTTGGGCCCCCAAAATCACTAAGCTAAAGGGAAAATTCAAGCTGGGAACTGCTTAGGGAAAACCTGCCTCCATTCTATTCAAAGTCATCCCTTTGCCCACTGAGATAAATGTGTATCTGATTGCCTTCTTTGGAAAAGCTAATCAGAAACTCTCCTTTGCCCAAATTTTCTCTCACCTACCTGTGACCTGGAAGTCCCCCCCGCCCCACTTCGAGTTGTCTTGCTTTTACTTTCAGTTGTTCCACCTTTCCAGACCAAACCAATGTTCACTTTACATATGTTGATTGATGCCTCATATCTCCCTAAAATGTATAAAACCAAGCTGTGCTCTGACCACCTTGGACACATGTCATCAGGACCTCCTGAGGCTGCGTCATGGGTGTGCATTCTCAACTTTGGCAAAATAAACTTTCTAAATTAACTGAGACCCACCTGAAATTTTCAGGGTTCACAATAGTAATAGGACCAGGTGGTAAATGGTAGCAAGTAATTGAATCCTGCATATATTCAGGGTTTGCAATAGGGCCAGGCGCGCCTTACCCCTCACCCTTTCTGGCCAATCTATTTACAAGGACCCAATTCTATCAATCCAGAGAGCCACAAAAGGACCCCAGCATCCACACAGTCCAGAGTAGCCCTGCCCCACAGAATTTTCTGCAATGACGGAAATGCTCTGCACTCTCAAATATGGTAGCCACAGGCCACATCTGGCAACTGAGTGCTTGAGATGTGGCCAGTATGAGGGATCGGATTTTTCATTTGACTTTTTAATTAACTTAAATTTTACTAAACTGTTTGGACAGTGCAGCTCTAGAGAGCCAGTCTGATAAATTGAGTCCAGGCAGCTCTTGCCCCTCGCTGGGATGCACTAGGAAGACAATCACCTGTGTTGTCATTATGTACACTCCAATCTCAATCAGCAGACAGGAGTCGGAGCGCCTTTGAGAAACGGTGGTGATGTGAATAAAGTGCTAATTTTATTTCTGAAATGGGCCATTAATAAACAACAAAGTGTTATAAATATGCAAAACACGCAATTAGTCAATTCTGACAAGTCTCTGTGATGGGATCCTTAAAGCGTGCCCTAAAATGAAGGGTGGAGGAACCAAAATAAATTTAGTTTCTCTTTAAACCCTACAAGCAATGAATGCTGAATAATTTACTTCTGAGAATTGTAACACAAAAGCAAGTCATTTACGGGTTCCTCTGAACATGAGCAGCACATTCTAATTTAATTCATATATGTGGAAGCCCATTATAAAAAGGAAATGAGTTACCAATGAGAGTGACGGCAGATGGCAGCTGTTTTTGCACTACTTCATGGACCCTGAATTACTCCAATCATCATTTTATTTAAGCCCAGAAGGTCATAAGAAATAAGTTACTGACTCCACTGAAATATGTCTCCCTTACACATATAAACTAAAACCTGCAATAGGTACATTATTCAAACAGTTTCTTGCAGCAAGAGGCACCAGCCCACAGGCCAAAGGCAAAGAAATCCTGCAGTCCTTTGGGCTCTGGTGAGGCCCCCTTCTGAAGATATTTGAGGAAGAGCCCTTTTTAGCAAATGAGATGCTCTCCAGTACAGCCCTTTCTAAAACCTTTCTTAGCATACTTGACGCATTCCTCTCCCAGCAAGCCACACCTTCTTGACCCTTGTTACCCAAACTATAAATATGACATTATTTTTTACTCTTATTTCTCCCTGATTCCAGTCTAGTTGTGTCACTGGACAAAGAGAGTCTCGTACCTGGTGATTCTATTTCCTGCCCCAGCTTCTTTCTCCAATCCATTCTTCACATAACAGTCTGTGATGCACCTGTGTCCAGAAAGATTTCCAGCACATGGTACATCCTCATAAAAATCTGTGGAGGAAATGAATGAGGTTTGAGAGGTTGGAAGAGCCAAATGAATTAAGTATTGGAAAGGAGTTTGATTTTGACTCTGAGAGCCATGGGAAGCCATTGAAGGATTTTGGGTAGAAGAGTGTCTTAACCTGGTTTATAAATTGTCAGTGTTCTCCAGCCCAAGACCACCAGGAACACACCTGTGGTTAAACAAGTTGGGTTTATCGATTCACTGCAGTCATGGGGAACTGCAGGATATCCCAGTAAGAGGGTATTCGAAATTACAGGATTTGGGCTTGTGTTAGATGATTGTGCTTAGAAGATTCAAGGAAGTGGGACTTGCTCTGGATTAGATGCTGTCAGAAAGCAGGAGTAACTCTGTGATTCAATTTCTTAATAAATCTTATCTTAAGATGACAGGAACAGAATGAGGCTAAAACTGTGATTGGTCAAACAGTAACTCATGATAGAATGGAAGGCTGTTTGGTCATCTTGTGATTTGGACAATGTTTACATTTTTGTCTCTGTCCAGACATGATTACATAGTGGTCCTGTTTTTGCCTTCATCCATCAGGGTCACAGAGTGGCCTTGCTTGATGTTGGGGTTTTATGACATTTTATGTTGGATGAAAGAATGCCAAAGGCCCAGCTGTGAGCACCCGGCCAGGTCGTAAAGACACCACAGCCCTCTGGCAGTGCCAGACCAGCTCCCAGCTGTCAGGGGCTGCATTTGTCTGTCTCAGTGATAATAAGATAAAGCATAGATGCTGTTAGGAGGATGCTGCACTAGTCCTGTTAGAGACGATGGTGGCCTGCATTAGGGTGACTGCAGGTGATGAGAAGTGATTGGATTCAGGACACATGGATGGTTATAGTTCTCGCTCAAACTATATTGGCTTTTCAGCTCCTCAGAAGAACCTTGCTCCCTCCAGGCCCTTCCAGGAGCACTTCTGTCTTGTTCAGCCCTTTCTTTACCCACACAACCACCCAACCCTTTTGTACCTGACATATTCATTTTCCTCCTTCTCAAATGTTACCTCCACCAGGAAACATTCTCGGCCCTCCCATCCCAAGTCTGGGTTAGTTGTCCCTCCTCTGCTTTCATAATCTCTTCTCATTATTTTGGTTTACTTACCTGGATCCCCTGCTAGACTGACAACTGCAGCAGGGAAGAGTGAGGTCTTGTTCACTAGGTGTACCTAGGTTCCATCACATAATAGATGCTTAATGAATACATGTTAAACGAATCAATGCTTCACTGATATTTATAGCTTTCTTTAGACTGGTTTCCAGGAAGTCATTATCTACTCCCAACTATCACGCCATAATGTCATTCCAAAACCAAGCTGCCTTTTCTTTTGTGCATACCTGCCAAATAATGTGATATTCCTGGCACTGCTGTGTATATTCCGCTTTCCTGAAAATTAAATCTATAAACCACTGAAATAGCAGAAGCGACTATGGGATAGTATCCTTAAGTGGCAGTAAGTGCCTTGGCTGTGAGTGGTTTCAATTTGATTTGTTAGTAGAATTGGGATATATTTACAAGCTTTCTATTCCTTATGATTTTGTAGGTAAAAAAAATAGCATCCTCTGTTTTGTCATTCATTCATTCAGCAACTGATTTTCAAGAGTCAGTGCCAGGCATTGTTGTAGAATGTTCTGGAGCATTAGGGATGAAATCAGAGACAAAAATATCTGATCCAGTGGGGTTCACATGATAATGCACAGGAAAGGCAATAAGGAAATAGAGAAATAAAACATATTGAATATTAAATAGTGACACATGCTAATGAGAAAAACAAAAGCAGGAGGAAAATATAAAATGTTATAGGGGGCTGGGCGCAGTGGCTCACACCCGTAATCCTAGCACTTTGGGAGGCTGAGGTGGGCGGATCACCTGAGGTCAGGAGTTTGAGACTAGCCTGGCCAACATGGTGAAACTTTGTCTCTACTCAAAATACAAAAATTAGCAGGGCATGGTGGCACATGCCTGTAATTCCAGCTACTCGGGAGGTTGAGGCAGGAGAAATCGCTTGAACCCATATGGCAGAGGTTGCAGTGAGCCAAGATCATGCCACTACACTCCAGCCTGGGTGACAGAATGAGACTCTGGCTCAAAAAAAAAATGTTATAGGGGTTGGGGGATTTCAAGCAGCATCTCTAGAAAAGGCTATACTGAAATGGTCATTCAGAGGAAAGGCTTGAAGGAAGTGAAGGTTTCCAGCCCAGCCGACGTCTTGGGGTGGCACTGCTAGCCAAGGGCACAGCCAGTGCCAAGGCCCTGAGGCAGGAGAGTGCCCAGTGTGCTTTATGCAGATCAAGATCTGGCTAGGGCAAGGGAAAGGGGAGGCATGGAAAAGTCAGAAGGGCCTTCAAGGCTCTGTCCATGACTGTGGCTTTCTGTCTGAGATGGAGAGCCTTCTGAGAGTTTGGGTGACAATTGACTATTGGAAATAATATCATATGCTAAAACAGTCTGATGTTTTCTATGATTAAAAACAAGTGAAAATGCATATCTTTCTATTGTTGGTCATTCCCCTACAATATAGTGGTTTTTTAAACTTTTTTTTGGTTAGTAAATACAATATGATTATTATAAAAGGTACAGAAAATACAAACACAATAGGAAAATAAAAACCCATTGCTTTCTTACCAGTCAATGATAGCCTTTGTTATTTTTAGCATATTTTCTATCTTTACATATGTGTTGTATTAGTTCATTTTCACACTGCTGATAAAGACATACCTGAAACTGGGAACAAAAAGAGGTTTAATTGGACTTACAGTTCCATATGGCTGGGGAGGCCTCAGAATCATGATTGGAGGCGAAAGGCACTTCTTACATGGTGGCGGCAAGAGAAAAATGAGGAAGAAGCAAAAGCAGAAACCCCTGATAAACCCATGAGATCTCATGAGACTTACTCATTATCATGAGAATACCATGAGAAAGATGGGTCCCCATGATTTAATTACCTCCTACTGGGTCGCTCCCACAACACTTGAGGATTCTGGGAGATACAATTCAAGTTGAGATTTGGTGGGGACACAGCCAAACCATATCACGTGTATTGCCTAAAATTTATCCAAAGAACATATATATGTACACATCCATACATATATCTATATATATGCATACACAGTCAGCCCTCCAGACCCATGGGTTCCACTTCCATGGATTCAACTAACCTCAAATAGAAAATAATTGGGGAAAACAATAAAAAATAATACAACAAAAATTTTAAAACAATACAGCCTAACAACTATTTCCATCACATTTACATTGTGTTAGGTATTATAAGTAATCTAGAGATGATTTAAAGTATACAGGAGGATTGTATAAGCTATAGGCAAATACTACACCATTTTATATCAGGGACTTGAGCACCTGTGGATTTTGGTATCTGCAGGGGTCCTGGAACCAATTCCCTGAGGAAACTGAAAGACAACTGTATGTTATTTGAGACTTTTCCTTCGTAATCATGAAGGTATTTGCAATGTCATTAAAAATTCTTTTAAACTACATTTCCAATGGTCCCAATGGGTTTCATCACATGAATGAACCATAATTTCCATATCGCGCACCTCACTCCTTTGCTCTCCTATGCAGCAGCAGCTCTACTCACAAAACTGATAAAATTCTAAAGCATTAAGCCCAATTATTTTGTTTCTAACTCCAAGACCACACAAAATTGATGGCTTGTGTCATCCGGGATGGACAGGTCCAACTGGAACAGCTGGTGGTGGTCGGCAGTGATTTCTTCTGTGGGAATATCTCTAGGTTGAAGAGTCATGAGTAGAGGATATTCTGGGGTTGGATTCATGCAGAGGCAATTACTGTTGCTTTGAAAATACAAATCTGGCATCATTTCAATCCAGTGCTCCTGGAGCCCATCCGGCTTCCCTCACTCCCTGCTCCCTGTGCCACATCAGACTCAATCAATCGGGAAAGAAGCCAGAAGAGCTGGCCCTGCCACCCAACTCAGGAACCCCTGTTGTGATGCCACAAGCTTGCCCCAGCCTGTCCCCGGGGCCTCCTGGGACCCACTCCAACCCTGACACCTCATTTCCCAGGACTCAGCCAGCCTCACCTCTCCTCTCTTCCTTTCAGCGCTGCTGGGCTCTTTCCCAGCCACATATTTCAGAAGCTGGCAGGAAGTCTCAAGGCAGTGACTGCAGATCCATCAGACTGTCATTTACAGTGTAGTAATTAACCCTGAGCTTCCTACAAAGTTCCCAGATTCCAGCCTTCCCCAACCCAGCAAGGCTCGTGGCCATCTCCCAGCCCAGGAGGTTGAGTCAGAGAACATGAGGGCTCAAGGTCCTTGTCTTCTGGTCCATAAGGCAGAAACAGACACCAGTCTAGACTTCATTCCATCCTATGATGAGATTGAACCTCAGTTGTGTCATTTGAGGGTGAGCTGGGCACAGCTGTGATGCCTTAAGAGCTGGCTCTCAACTCTATCCAAGCATAGGTTGTCAGGAATGCAGAATCTTGGGCTCCACAAATGAATCAGCTAATAAGCCAGCTAATGAATCAGAGCCTGCATTTTAACAAGATCCTCAAGAGATTCCTATGTACAGTAAATTTTTGTTTAGAAACAAGGTCTTGCGAGGCTGGAGTGCAGTGGTGTGATCACAGCTCACTATAGCCGTGACTTCCTGGGCTCAAGCGATCCTCCCACCTCAGCCTCCCAAGTAGCTGGGATTACAGGCATGCACCACCATGCCTCCTTATACAAGTAAAGTGTGAGAAGCATTACTCCTAGGTCAGTGATTCTCAGACTTGCGCATGCATCAGAATCACCTGGAGTGGTTGTTAAAACACAGGTTGCTTTTTATTCAGTCATAAAAAAGGAATGAAATTTTGGTATATGCTGCAATACAATATGAATGAACCTTGGGAACATTACGCTTGGTGAAGTAAGCCAGACACAGAAAGGCAAATATTGTATTATTCCACTTATATGAGGTACCTAGAATAGGCAAATCCGTAAAAACAGAATGTAGACTAGAGGTTACCAAGGGTGAGGAAAAGGGGCAAGGAGGAACGGGGGATGGGTATTGTTTAATGGGCACAGAGATTTTGTCACAGATGATGAAAAAGTTTTGGGTGTGGATAGCGGTGATGGTCGCACCACACTGTGAATGTCTTTAATGCCACTGAATGGTATATTTATGAATAGTAGAAATGATAAATATTATGTGTATTTCATAATAATTTAAAAAATAAAAATTTTTAAGCGACAGATTGCTGGGACCCACCTGCACCCACCACCATAATTTCTGATTTCTGATTCAATGGGTCTGGACTGACGTCTGAGAATCTACATTTCTAACAAATGCCCAAGTGATGCTGGTACTTCTGGTTTGAGGGCCGTATTTTGAATGTCAAAAATCTGGACACTGTTTCTTAATTAAAATTGAAAAATAAAAACTGATGTCCAGACCCTGTCCCAGGGATTCTAATTTGATTGATCCACATTGGTGTCCTGGGCAGAGGGATTTTTTTAGCCCTCCCCAGGTAATTCTACTGTGCAGCCAAGGTGGAGAACTGCAGATAGGTGGTGTCCTCTGGGAAATTCCTCACCTGCCTATGCCTTTTCAGTGACACAGGGGGACATTCAGATTGGTGAGGAGCTCTGGGTGTTTCTTCATGGAAGCTTTAAAGGGCATCTCGGTAGTAAAGGAGTTTTTATACTAAAAAAAATAACACCACTCTCTTCTCCTAAATAATGCCTTCTAACCATGGACTAGGTCATCAAAAGAGATTGTATGTTCACATCTACTGAATGAGCAGTGTTGATGGGCAGACTTGAGCTTTGTTACATTCCTCATTTCAGTGAATGTGTATTTATTAATTCATTTAATAGACCTCTGTTTTAACAAATTTTGAACCCCCCATCTCACCTTTTTGTTTCCTAACTTCTGGCAAATCTGTCACAGATAAACCTAATAGAAGAGAGCAGGTTGAGGCAGAGGGGAACCAATGGTGCTTTTCTGAGCTTTTCTCCTCAACCCAAAGCATCCCAAGAATAGATAATCTGTATTTGGTGATTTTTCCATAAGAGTTCCATAAGACCATAACAGTGACCATGGACACCTCTATAGATGTTAACAAGACAATGAAACACAAGTCTTTTGTTAGTTTTCTTAGCCTTTTTGTGCTTGACGCATCATAAAAATTCATTCTGCTACTTGACCCACTGGTCCAGCATCTTGGTGAACACCCTGTCCAGAGAAGCTGGAACCCTTTCCCTGCTATTTCCCTCCCTGTCCTCTCTACCCACTCACCCCCATCCCCACCTGAGATTCAGGCTGAATCCCCTTTCCCACCACCCAAATGAGCTTGGGAGGGGCAATGTCAAAACCACATGCTCTACCCAACTCAACTAAGGGAACTTCTGACATGTTAAAAATAATACATTATCAAGATCAGTGTTTGCCAAGGATTGGGAGGAGGGATGGATGAATATGTGCAAATTAGTCCATCCACATGCTGCTATAAGGACATACCCAAGACTGGGTAATTTGTAAAGGAAAGAGGTTTAATTGACTCACAGTTCAACATTGCTGGGGAGGCCTCAGGAAACTCACAGTCATGGCAGAAGGGGAAACCAACATGTCCTTCTTCACATAGTGGCAGGGAGAAGAATGAGAGCTGAGCAAAGGGGGAAACCCCTTATAAAACCATCAGTTCTCATGAGAACTCACTCACTATCACAAGAATAGTATGGGGGAAACCGTCCCCATTATTCAATTATCTCTATCTGGTCCAGCCCTTGACACATGGGGATTATTACAATTCAAGGTGAGATTTGGGTGGAGACACAGAGCCAAACCATATCAAGGTGGAACACAGAGAATTTTTAGGGCAGTGAAACTACTTGTATGATACTATAATGATGCATATATGTTATGATGCTTTTTATAAAACCATAGAATGTACAAGCCCAAGATTGAACCCCAAACTGTCTTTGGGTGACAATGATATGTCCACGATGCTCATCAATTGTAACACATATACCACTCTGGTGAGGCATATTGATAATGGAGTGGACTATTCATTAGAGAGGGAAGGAGGTATGTGGGAAATTTCTGTACCTTCCTCTCAGTTTTGCTGTGAGCCTAAACTGCTCTAAAACAGAAAGTCTACAAAAGTGTTAAAATAATAATACATTTGAGAAGAGCTCTAGCAAAGACAGATATTTAATAGTTAGCTAAAATTTCAAAATAAAACATTGACTTTAAGATCAACTTTCTAAAGGACTCTGGCAAAGCCAACAGGAAGAGGTCACTTTCACTTAAACCTTCTGAAACCTACCCTCCTCACACCTCTTTTTCTCTCTATCCCAAATTACCTGCACACAGGTACCAAATTATACATCTGCTCTTCCTTCAGCTTCTCCTCCTGACCTCCTAAATGATCTACCCTTTCATGGGATTTTTCTGAGGAAAAGTTTCCTCAAAATTACTAGCGTAAGAGGCTTATCTAGAAGTCAAATTTAAGTTGAGTTAAAGGCTATACTTAAGAATTCCAAAACCTCAGGAAGGCAGATAAAAATGTTCTGTGAATTAAGGATTTTATTAGCTACTTACTATCCTAGATTAGCAGATCCTTACAAACTAGTTTCCTTAATTGCAAGCCCCTCATATGGGGGAAATAGTTAAAAGTAACAGGATGAGAAAGGCCAGGGAGAATTGAAATAATTAAACTGTGCGCAATTCAGATATTGGCGTTAAGAGCACAGGAAAAATAAGAAATGAACTATGTGTGGCCATTCTTGAAGTCTTTCCCTTAAGAGAAGATTGGACAGCAAATCAAAATTGCAAATAAAATGAAGATGATTAAACAGGTGACATTAAAACTAGACTTCAGGAAACTTTTAAATAATATCTATGATAGACCCAGCATCTGAAGTAAAAGGAGACTTGTCCTCTCTTTTTGTAAGTAGACTCACGTCTGAAATAGGAAACTTAGAAAAATACATTGGAATGGGAAATTGTCAATTTAGAAGATCTCCAACATGTGGCTTAACATTTTCAAAAAGCCCTAGAAAGTAAACAAGCTAGAAATGAAAACAACTCCTGGCTATCCCAGTTAAACAACTGGTCCTCAAAATAAAAATAAAAACAAAAAGTTCTCTGTTTTTTTTTTCTCTGAGAATCAACAGCCTATAAAATAAGGACACCAGTAGATATTGGAGGCAGGAGGGTTATTGGGAAAACCAGTGTCACACATTTGTTAAGATACAAAACTACTGTTCAAAGTTTGTCCAATGGTGTTGAAGCTGAGAGAAACATTGGAACCCAACAATTCCCTCTCCTTCATCTAAACTGCCAAGGGAAATTATATATATGTATGTACACACACACATGCTTATGTACATATGTACAAAAAAATTAGTTTTTTTGTTTATATGGTTGTCACTGTATCTCCAATTAATCTCACTACCATAGAACATCAGATTCCCCCAGAATACCAAAACCACTGAAATGGTGAGAATTTCTAACAACCCTAAGCTCTTTCTCATGTCTCAACCTATGACTGCTGCCTTGGCACCACTAGCAGAAGAACATTCCTTTCTTCTCTGTGACACAACTCCTGCACATTTAATAGGAAAGGATCAAGTTTGAAGCATTCAACTAAATACACTGCAGGATTATTTTTTGAAGTCCCAGAAGTTACAGCTGGTAAGCATATTAAAATACCTACACTAGGTATGATTCAAGAAACAAGTGAAGAATTAGCCCATGATCTCTGAATTCCTAAAGGCCAAAGATCTATGAACATGAACAAACTAATTGGAACAGAGCTGTGTGAGTTCAGATGGATTCTTCTAAACCTTTTCTTAAACTTCCTCAATACTCCCACTAAAATTGAAGCCAAGAAAGGTCTTAAGACAATTACAACAGGCTTAATAGAAAAAGGATTAATTCTCTTTGTACTAGTTTCCGCAATACCTGTTTAAAAGTCTAACAATTGAGGATACAGATGTGTCTGATATCTATAAGCAATTAAAATAGGCTTGCTTTCCAGCAGGGCCTAACCCAAATACCAAACTATCTTCATGCCCACCTGAAGCCAAATGCTTTACTGGAATAGACTTAGCTCAGCTTTCTTTAGTATCTCAATTGATACTAAATATTTCTGATAATATTTATTTGCCTTCACCTTAGAAAATCTGGATAGCTTCCTCTATGAGAAAAATTGGACAAATTTATTAAACATTTTTTAAAGAGCTGAATTAATGGAGAAATGTATTATGGTTGTGAATAGTAAGACAATATTATAAAAGTCTCAGTTCTCCCCAAATTGATCATCTTAATTACGCTCAAAATCCCAACAGATTTTTGTTCTCACGAAAACATTTTTTAATGATCACAATTCTGAAGAGCAAAGGGAAAAAAATTGCCAAAGCATTTATGAAGAAAAACAGAGAGGAAGAACTTATTAAAATAACTATTATATGGAACTGGTTCAGAGAGAGATAAAATTACCAGTGGAAAAAATGGAGAGGCCAGAGTCCTGCCATTCTTATGGGTAACGTTGGTCCATGACAGAGGTGGCACAGCAGACCAGTGATGACAGAGACCATTCAGGAAAAAGAACTGGGTTAAAAAACTGGACTTCATCCAGCAAAATATGAAACTGGAATTTACCTGATAACATACATAAAAATCATTGCAACATGGATCAAGGATTTAAATATCAAAAAGTAAATATTAGGACTATTACAATACAATTTAGGAGAATCTTGGTAGGAAAGGATTTTTTTAAAGAAGGTAAAAACACTCTTTGTAATATAAAAGGTTGATTAATTTGTCTGTATTAATGTTAAATGTCTTCAGCTTATACAGGAGATAGGGTACCCCCTCTTATGTAGGAGACAGAGCACCCACTCATAACAGGAAGGAATGAAGGAAGGATGAGTTTGTGGGTTTGATACATGAAGTTGAGGGAGTTACCATGTCATGGTTTCTTTTTCCTCTGTGAGATAGAAATCAAGTTCATGTTTGGAGTAGGAGTAGGGGTAAATGTGCTGTGGGTAAGGAGGAAGGGGAGTTGAGCCCAAAATGTGAGGGGTATAGAGATGGTGAGCCCCAGTCACTGAATAAAGTAGAAGGGAGGTGGGGCAGAGGAACATAACTGGAGGCCAGATAGATGATCCTGAATTAGTGGCTCCATCTGCCCAGTGGTGTGATGGAGACTCAGCTGCAGGAGGTTAGCGATTGGTTCTCCAGCCAGTTCGACCAGCCCTATCATTAGCAACAAGCTCTCCCCAACTCAGTAATTAGGCTGATTGCAGTCCCAGCCTCCCCGACCACAATGAGTTTTCATCTATTTCCATAGCTTCTTGGTATTTTAGTAAGGTAAGGCTACTTTAGGGACAGTTAGCTAGATAGCACCTAAAAATTTCCCCTTCTAATTCTTAACTGCAATTGGTCATGGTTTAATTACAATCTTTCATCCAAAATTCATTGGTATCTATTTCTCCAACAGTACATAGCTCTAGGATATTGGCCTTTGGTCTGCTTGTCAGACTGGCACATGGAGACCTCCTAGGCTGCCCAGCTCACAAGCCAGCTTCTCTCTGTGGTCTGAAAAACAGGCATTGCTTGGCTTATGCTGTAAGTAACAGACTTGAACTTCCCTTTGTAGCTACCAATTACAACGCTCTAGTTTCTCTACTTCTTTTCTCCAAAGTTCCCAACTAGTGAAAATACTGATTACAACCACCTGGACATCTTTATTCCAAGCATGACAGACTCTGAAGATTTCTTCCTAATTGTTTATGGATGTCACCCATCATTTTCACATTCCCAAAAGTCTTCCAGCTGCCCTGATACTGATTGTGCAACAATAAGTTACGTTGGTGAAAAATTAGCAAATTTGCCCCTTATATAATCTGCTATCTGGGGCCTGATTATTTCACCACAGGACTTTTTTTGATAATTTAGGCAGAAAACATAACAAGATTTTCCAATAAGAATATTCAGTTGCCTATGTCTCTCTCCCATGGAGGTATGGTAACAAAATTCTAAGCCTGGTTTTGTTACTTATTAGTAACTAGTTAGCTAGTTAGGTAAGTATCCTGCAAGTTATTTCCTTCTCTGTGGCTCTTCATTTTCCAATTAAACAACAACAACAACAACAAAGAATGGTCATGCAGAGCTGCTTCCTCCCTTACAGAGGTGTTCCATGGTTAAATATGATAATGAACATCAAAGCTCTTTGCAAGCTGCAAATCTAAGGTGTTATGATTCCCTTGGTGAAAGTAAGTATAGGCCATGCATCTTCTCTGCAGGAGTATAAAGGTTTGGAGTTTTCATTAAAGGTAAATTCACAAATATTTATTAAACTTTTTTTGTTTGCATGCATTTGCTAAGCACTTGTATATAAATTACCTTATTTTATCTTCATAGTAAGCCCATACAGTAATTAATATTAAAACTCACTGCACAGATAAGGAAACTGATAAGGAATCCCAGATAAGATCCAAAAAGATTAAGTAATTTGCCCAATATCCCACAGCCAGTAAGTGTTGTCATCAGTTCTGGACTGACACAGCTACCTCTTTGTCACAAAATCCTCAAAGATGCAGGCTTTTTCCAGCTCGTGGCATTCCCATCTTAGGAGGTGGCTCTTGTCCTCATTATTCAACATGGATGGCAGCATCATGTTCCAGGCAGGAGGAAGGAATAAGTAACAAATATGAGAGACTAACACCTAAAGAAAGATCATGGAAGATGGCATGTGACACTTAGCCAACATCTTTTTGGCCATAATGTGGTTACATGATGATTGGTCAGTTTGCTGTCAAGATGCTGATGGAGCACTTCAACAAGAGAATTTAGTAAAGAAACATGTTCAAAGGAGTGGGTACGGTTAAGGAAAATAAACAAGGAACAGTGTGCATGCCAGGGCTAGCAATAGTAAGGAACCATTATAACTGTGACCTTGACGGGCATGGTAGAGATGATTACCAGAACCTAGAAAGAGTCAGAGTTGCAGCTGAAGAAGAAGGCTACCCCAGCTAAGCTGTGGCATTTGGTAGAGGGAAGCTGTTTTGTGGTTGATCTCCTCCTGCTGCTAGCATATATATATACACATATATGCTAACAGGCACAGACAAAAAAAAAAAAAACACGCCCAAACAAAAGCCTGCTCTCTGTAGCCAAAAGACCAGGAAAGGGCAGCTTAGCAAGACAGAAAACTCTTAGACAATAACCTGTCCACTCAGCCGAGTACCACAGAAAATAAAAAAACTTAGTTCCACCCAACCCATGCCAGCAAAGGACATATGAAAAGCCTAAATATCCACCCTTGAAAGACTATAAATGAGGTACCCCAACCACTATCCCCCTCCAACCAGGGTAGTGTCAGAGAAGACTGAATGGAAATCTAGGACTTTTAGACCCTCCAGGAAAAGGAAAAAAACACCCTAGTTTCCCTACAATGTCAGCGGAGATCCTAGACTTAACGATCCTAGATTCTAGACAGGGGATTCCTAGACTTCTTCCTACCTACTGGGGTGGTTATTACGGGCTAAACTCTACCTGCCCCCCCACAAAAAAATTCATATGTTGAATCCCTAACTCCCAGTATCTCAGAACATGATTTTATTTGGAGATAGGATCTCTAAAGAGGTAATTAAGGTAAAATGAGGCCATTAGGCTGGGCCCTAATCCAATATGACTGCTATTCTTATAAGAAGAGATTAGAACACACAGAGACTTAAGTGATCACACACAACAAAGAATACTGTTTTTACAAAAACAATTTAGAGAAGTCACTAAACAAATAAACAAGTATCCCACATTAAGTAACAATAACAAATCATGAAGATGGAGCAGAAGCTGATTTCCAGAGTTACCACATTAGAATATTAATAATGTCCAGTTTTCAACCAAAAAAAAAAAAGGCATGCAAAGTAACAAGAGAATATGACTCGTTCACAAGAAAAAAAGAAATACAGAGAAATCATCCCTGAGAAAGGCCAAATATTAGATTTACTGGACAGAGAATTTAAATAAATTATCTTAAATATGCTCAAGGAGCTAATGGAAATCATGTACAAAGAAATAAAGGAAACCAAGAGAACAATGTCTAAACAAACAGAGAATGTTAATAAAGAGATATGGAGTATAAAAAAGAAAAAAATAGAAATTTTGATGTTGAAAATTATAATAAAATACCAAAAACCTTATTAGATGGATTCAATGGCAGATTTCAGCAGGCAGGAAAGAAAAAACAGTAAACTAGAAAATAGGTCAATTGAGGTTATCCCATCTGAGGAGTAGAAAGGAAAACCAATGAAGAAAAATGAATAGATCTGGCCTCATGAGGGGAGTGTAAAAATAAAAAATGAATAGAGCCTGTAAGATCTTTGGGACACCATAAAGCATGCCAACATATGCATAATGGGAGTGTCCCAGAGGTAGAGAAAAAAAAACAGAAAAAGGCAGAAAGACTACTTGAGGAAATAATGCCTTGAGACATTCCCAAATTTTATGAGCAACATGAATCTACATATCCAAGAAGTTCAACAAACTTCAAGTAAAATAAACTCAGAGATCCACATGAAGACATATAATTAAGCTGTCAAAAGACAAAAAGGAAGTTGTGAAGTAGCAAAAGAGAAAAGACATCACATAAAAGAGATTCTCAGTAAGATTAACAAGCTATTACTCGTCAGAAACCAGGTATGACAGAAAGCAGTAGAATGACACAAAGCTATGGGGAGGGGAGAAAGCTATCAACAAAGAAGTATATATCTAGAAAAGTTATCCTTGATAATTAAGGAGAAATTAAGGCATTCCCAGATAAAAAAAATCTGAGAGAATTTATCACTAGTAGACCTACAAGAAATGCTAACGGGCCTTCTTCAGATCGAAATGAAAGGAAATTATACAGAAACTCAAAACCAAACCAAAAAATAAAAGAACACCAAGAAGGGTAATTATTTCTACACAAGCACATATAAAAGCCAATATTATTTCATCCTGAGATTATAACTCCTGTTTTTAAAATACTATTTCAAAGATACATTTTCAGAATAGTAATTACAGAGATATGTTAATGGGTACACAATGTAAAAAGATGAAATTTGTGATAATAACAACTATATGTGAGGTGGAAGGAGCAATATCGGAGCAGCACTTTGTATATGATAGAAGCTAAGTTGATGATTAATTCCAACTAGAAAGTTATAAGTGTGAGATGTTCACTGTCATCCCCATGGTAACCAATAAGAAAGTAACTAAAAAATATAAAGAGAAAATTAGAAGAGAATCAAAACAAGACACTAGAAAAAAATCAGTTAAACACAAAAGAAGGTAGTAATGGAGAAAATGAGGAATAGAAAAAGATATGACGTATAGAAAAAAATAGTAAAATGGCAAAATTAACTATTTCTTATAAGTAATTACTTTTAATGTAAATGAATTATACTATCTGTGACAGTTAATTTTATGCATCAACTTGGCAGAGTCAAGGTTCTCCTGGAGGCTGTATATGTTCTGAATCAACATCTAATACATGGTGCTGTTTCTCCCACAGCCAGAATTCACAGATCCAGGAATCAAGGGGTGGAAGCGGAAGTGGCAACACTGACTATTGCTCCTAGTGACCCACTAGCAAAATTTTTTCTTCCTTTTCCTGTGACCTTATGCTTTGCTGACCCAGAGGTCTTCCTTCCCAAGGAAGGAATACTTCCACCAGGAGACACAATGATTTCATTAAACCAGAAGTTAATAATGCTATCCAGCCACTCTGTGGTCTTCATGCCTCTAATCAACAGGCAAAGAAGGAGTTACTATTCTGGCTGGGTTTATTAACCCATTTATGTCAGAGCCTGCAATTTTTTGAATTCCAGACATGTGTGAAAAAACAGACCTTGGTGATGACCCTGAGCAGTAAGAAATAAATAACTTCCACATGCTCAGTGTTCCAATAATGGAACATTAGGCATAAATGGGCTTAATCCTGACTACTAAGGAAAAATTTGACTGCTATTCCATAATGGAAGTAAGGAAGAATATATTCGTAATACAGAAGCTCCCTTAGAGTATCTCTTAGTATTACCATGCCCTGTGATTAGGGTCCACTGAAAACCACAACAACCCAATCCAGACATGACTACTACTGTCTAAGATTATTCAGGAATAAAGGTTTGGGCAGCCCACCAGATAAAGAACCACAACAAAAGGTGCTTTCTGAGGGCAAGAAAATATGGAATGGGTACAGGAAGAGGTAGTTATAAATACCAGCAACAATCATATGACTAATTATAGAAAAGGATTATTATAATTGTCATGAGTATTTATTTATTTTCATTGTCAATATGTTTGTGTGTATAATATGAAACATCTTTGGTTTTTTCTCTTATCCTTTTATTATGTAATAAGAAGTATTGACTTTATGTCATAGCATTTTAGTTACAGAATATCAAGGAGAGGAGTAGACATCACCAAAAGACTTTGCATTCTTTTCTGGTGGAGAGTTAGTGTGGTTTTGGTTGTACACAGAATAGTTGTATCATGTTAGGCAGAAGTATAATATTGTTTTGTCTTTATTTGCAGATTAAGTATGATTTAAGGAAATGCATATGGATGACAGGTTGACAAAGGGTAGATTTATGCTAGTTAATTTTATGTCAAATTGACTGGACCATGGTGCCCAGATATATGGCCTAATATTATTCTGGATGTTTCTGAGATGGTGTTTTTGGAAAAGATTAACATTTAAATCAGTGGAGTTTTAGTAAAGCAGATTGTCATTCATAATGTGTGTGGCTCTCACCAAATGAATCTGAAGGCTTTACCAGAACAAAGACTGACCTCCCTGAGCGAGAAGGAATTCTGCCAGCAGACTGCCTCTGGACTCAAGCTGCAACTCTTCCCTGAATCCCCAGTCTGCTGGCTTATCCCATCAAATTTTGGACTTGCTAAGCCTCTATAATCACATGGGAAAATTCCTTAAGACAGTAATATTTATACACACACATACACAGGAACACACACACTCACACATCCTATTAATTTTTTTCTGAAGAACCATGATTAATACACTCTAAAATTAAAGGGCAGAGATTGGCAGAATTGATTTTTTTAAATGCTCCAATTATATGCTGTCTAAAAGAGACCCTTTTAGATCCCCGAACACAGAGATTGAAAATAAAGGAATTTTAAAAATGCAAATAGTGATCAAAAAAGACTCAAGTGGCCATATTAATATATGACAAAAATTTTTACTAGAGACAAGGAAGAATATTTTATAATAATAAAATGGCCAAATCATCAAAAAGATAAAAAAAGTATAAACATGTATGCATCTACAACAATGTCCCAAAATACTTGAAGAAAAAACAGAATCGAAGAGAGAAATGTACAGTTCTACAATAATAGTTAGACACTTCCGTGCCCTACTTTCAATAATAAATGGAACTAGACAAAGAAGAACAATAAGAAAACAGAGGATTTGAAAAACACCATAAGCCAACTAGACCTAACTAACATATACAGAACACTCTACCCAACAACAGCGTAATGTATATTCTTCTCAAGTGACCTGGAACATTCTCAAGAACAGATCATATGTTAAGCCACAAAATAAGTCTCAATACATTTTGAAAGATTAAAGTCACATAGAATATCTTCTCTAACAACAATGGGCTGAAACTAGCAATCAATAACCAAAGGAAAGCTGGAAAAATCAAAAAAATGAAGAAATGAAATAATACACTCTTAAACCATCAATGGGCCAATGAAGAAATCACAAGAAAAATTAGAAAATACTTTGATAGAAATGAAGATGAAAACACAAGCTACCAAAACTTATGGGATTCACTGAAAGCAGTCTGAGAGAGACATTTATAACTCTTAATTAAAAGTTTACATTAAAAAACAAGATCTCAAATTGATAATCTAATTTTACACCTTCAAGAATGAGAAAAAAGAGCAACTAAACCCAAAACTAGCAGAAGTAGGAAATAATAAAATTAAAGTAGAGATAAATAAAATAGAGAATAGGAAAACAGTAGAGAATTAACAAAACCAAAAGTTGATTCTTTGAGAAGATCAACAAATTTGACAAACCTGTAGCTATACTGACCAGGAAAGAAAAAGAGAATACTCTAATTACTAAAAACGGAAACTAAAGTGGTGACATTACTACTGACTTTCCAGAAGTATTAAAAATTATGAGAATACTATGAAAAATTTTATTACAAACAACTTAGATAACCTAGATTAAATGGACAAATTCCTAGAAACATGCAAACTACCAAAACTGACTTAAGAAGAAATAGAAAATCTGAGTCGATCTATAATAAGTAAGGAAATTAAGTCAGTATTCAGAAACCTCTCAACAACAGCAACAATAAAAGCCCAGGACTAGATGGTTTCACTAGTAAATGAAATACATGAAATTACAAGGGGCCCCAAATAGCCAAAACAGTGTTGAAAAAGAAAAACAAAATTGAAGAACACACACTTTCCTATTTTAAAACTTAGCACAATGCTTAGTGCAATGCTAATCAAAACAGTTTGGTACTGGTTATACGTATAAGATTTTTATGTAAACCCTCAGGCCAACCATAAAGCAAAAGCCTATAATAGATACACAAAAGATATAAAGACAAAATTCAAAACATACCACTACAGAAAGCTATCAAACCACAAAAGTAGAAAGCAACAGGGAAAGAAAGGAACATAGGATCTATAAAACAATCAGAAAACAATAACATGGCACTAGTACATCTTTACCCATCAATAATTACTTCAAATGTAATAGATTAAATTCTCCAGTCAAAAGGAATACAGTGGCTGAATGTATTTTTTTAAAAGACCCAACTACCAAAACTTATGGAACACAGCAAAAGAAGTTCTACAAGGGCAGCAAATGCCTCCATCACAAAAGAAGAAAGATCTCAAATAAGTGATTTAACATTACACCTGAATGAACTAGAAAAAGAAGAAAACACCAAGCCTAAAGTTAGCAAAAAGAAGAAAATAACAGATTTGAACAGAGATACATGAAATGGTGACTGGGAAAACAATAGAAAAGATCAATGAAACTAACAGTTGTTTTTTAGGAAATTAAACAAAGCTGATAAACACTTAGCTAAACTAAAAAAGGGGGGAAGATTACATTTAAATAAAATCAGAAATGAAAGAGGAAATAGTACAACTGATAACACAAAAATACAAAGGTAGGAAACTACTATCCTAGAAACATATAACCTACCAAGACCGAATCATGAAGAAATTGGAAATCTGAACAGATCAGTAATGAATAAGGAGACTGAATCAGTAATTGTCTTCCATCAAAGGAAAGCCCAAGACCAGATGGCTTCGTGGATGAATTCTTTATATTCATTTAAAGAATAAGTTATACCAAATCCTTTTCAAACTCTTCCAAAAAACTGAAGAACAGGAAATACTTCCACATTCATTTTTCAAAGCCAGCTTTACCCAGATACCAAACCCAGACAAAGATACTACAAGAAAAGAAAACTACAGGTCAATACCACTGATGAACATAGATGTAAAAATCTTCAACAAAATACCAGCAATCTATATTTAATAGTACATTTTAAGGATATTCGCCATGATCAAGTGAGATTTATTCCTTTGGCTCAAGGTTGGTTCAAGAAGTGTAAATAAATAAATGTGATTCACCATATTAACAAAATAAAGAACAGAAATCATATGATCATTTCAATTGATGCTGAAAAAGCATTTGACAAAATTCAATAATCTTTCATGATTAAAAACTCTCAACAACTGAGGAATAGAAGAAATATTCCTGAACACAATAAAGGCCATATGCGACAGGTCCACAGTTAGCATCATATTTATTGATGAAAAGTTGAGCGCATTTCCTCTAAGATTAGAATCAAGGCAAAAATGTCCACTCTCACCACTTCTGTTCAACACGGTCCTGGAAGTCCTAGCCAGAGCAATTAGGCAAGAGAAAGAAATAAAAAGCATCCAAATAGGAAAGAATGAAATAAAGTTTTCTCTGTATATTAACAACATGATTTTATATGTAGAAAATCCCAAAGACTCCACAAAGAAATGGACAGAACTCATAAAAAAATTTAGTAAATTTGCAGGATACAAAATCAATATACAAGAATCAGTAGCATTTCAATATAATAACAATGAAATGTCTGAAAAATATATCAATAAAACAATTCAATTTACAATAGCTACAAAAAAGCACATAGAAGTAAATTTAACCAAATAAAAGATCTGTATTATAAAAACTATAAAGCATTGATAAAAGAAATTGAAGATGACACAAATAAATGGAAAGATATCTCATGTTCATTGATTGGAAGAAGTATTATTGTTTAAATGTTCATACTACCCAAAGTAATCTACAGATTCAATGCAATTTCTATCAAAAATCCAATGTCATTCTTCTGAGAAATTTTGAAAAATCCTAAAATTTACATAAAACCACAAAGATCCCAAATAACCAAAGCAATCTTGACCAAAAAGAACGAAGTTGGAGCACAAAACTATGGGATTTCAAAATATACAAAGATTTGGTTACAAAGCTATCATAATCAAAACAGCAAGTACTGGCATAAAAACAGACATGTTGACCAGAGAAATAGGATAGAGAGCCCAGAAATAAACCCACACATCTACAGTCAATTGAGTTTTGACAAAGGTGCCAAGAACACACAATGGGTAAAGGGCAGTTTCTGCAATAAATGGTGTTGGGAAAACTATATATCCACATGTGAAATAATAAAAATGGACCCTTATCTCACCCTTTATAAAAGAATCAATTCAAAAAATGATTAAAGACTTAATTGTAAGACCTGAAACTATAAAACTACTAGAAAATAAACATAGGGGAGCTCGTGGTCTGAGGAGAAATTTTTTTGGATATGACTCCAAAAGCCCAGGCAACAAAAGTAAAACTTAAAAAAAAATGGTGCTATAACAAATTAAAAAGCTTCTGCAGAGCAAAGGAAACAATAGAATCAAGAGACAACCCTACAGATTGGGAGAAAATATTTACAAATCATACATCAGATAAGAGGCTAATATACAAAATATGCAAGGAACTCAAAATACTCAATAACAAGAAAACATAACCCTATTTAAAAATGGGCAAAGGGCGGCCAGGTGTGGTGGCTCACGCCTGTAATCCCAGCACTTTGGGAGGCTGAGGCAGGCGGATCACAAGGTCAGGAGATTGAGACCATCCTGGCTAACATGGTGAAACCCCATCTCTACTAAAAATACAAAAAATTAGCCAGGCGTGGTGGCAGGCACATGGTAGCAGGCACCTGTAGTCCCAGCTACTCGGGAGGCTGAGGCAGAAGAATGGCATGAACCTGAGATGCAGAGCTTGCAGTGAGCCGAGATCATGCCACTGCACTCCAGCCTGGGCAACAGAGCGAGACTCCGTCTCAAAAAAAAAAAAGGGCAAAGGGCTTGAGTAGACATTTCTCAGAAGAAGACATGAAAATGGTCAACATATATATGAAAAAAAGTCCATATCTCTGATCATCAGAGAAATGCAAATTTAAAACTACAATGAGACATCATTTTACATATGTTAGATTGGCTATTAACAAAAAGACAAAAGATAACAAGTGTTGACGAGAATGTGGAGAAAAGGGAACTGTTATACACTATGGATAATATTGTAAATTAGCACAACCATTTTGGAAACAGAACAGTTTCCCCAAAAAAGTAAAAATAGAATTACCATATGATCCATCAATCCTACTATTGGATATTTGCCACACAAAAAAAAATTGAAATCAGCGTGCCAAAGAGATGTCTGCACTCCCATGTTCACTGCAGCATTATTCACAATATCCAAGATAGGAAAACAAATGAAGTGTCCATCAATCCATCAACAGATGAAGGGATTTTAAAAATGAGGTATATATACACAACAGAATACTATTCAAACTTTTAAAAAGCAGGAAATTCTGTCATTTGCAACAACATGGATGAAACTAGAGGACATTATGTTAAGTCAAATAAGCTAGGCACAGAGAGATAAATTTAGTATGTTCTCAGCTATATGTGGAGTTTAGAAAAGTCAAATTCATAGAAGTAGAGGGTAGAATGGTAGAAGTAGGGAAGAGGTGGACAAAGGGGAGATGTTGGTAAATGAATGCAAAGTTCCAGTTGGAATAATTTCTGGTGTTCTACTGCACAACATGTTGACTATAGTTAATAATAATGTATTATATATTTCTAAATAGCTAAAAGGGAGGATTTTAAATGTTCTTGCCACAAAGAAATAATAAATATTTGAGGTAACAGAAAAAAAGAAAACCCCAGTGTGGTACTGGAATAACAATACCCATAAAGATCAATGGAATAGAATTAAGAGTCCAGAAATAAACCCATACATCTATGGCCAATTGATTTCTGACAAGGGTGCCAAGACCAATTTATGAGGAAAGAATCATCTTTTCAACAAGCAGTGCTGGAACAACTGGATATGCACATGTGAAAGAATGAAGTTGGACCCCTGCCTCACACCATATTTAACTCAAAAAACTTCGAAGACCTAAAAATAAGAGCTGAAATTATAAAACTCTTAGAAGTAGCAAATCTTCATCATCTTAGATTTGGCAATCAATTCTTAGATATGACACCAGAAGCATAATTAACAAAAGAAAAAATAAATTAGACTTTATCAAAATTAAAAATTTTTGTGCATCAAAGAACATTATAGTGAGAGTAAAAAGACAACCACAGAATAGGAGAAAATATTTTTAAATTATATACATATCTGATAAGTATCTGGTGTCCAGAATACATAATCAACACTTAAAGTTCAACAACAAAAAGACAACAGCTCAATTTAAAAATGGGCAAACAGGGCTGGGTGCAGTGGTTCACACCTGCAATCCCAGCACTTTGGAAGGTCAAGGCAGGAGGATCATTTGAGGCCAGGAGTTTGAGACCAGCCTGGTCAACATAGCAAGATCTCGTTTATACACCCCCCACTACCACCACCAAAAAAAACCCTAGGTGTGGTGGTACGCCTGTAGTTCCAGCTACTTGTGAGCCTGAAGCAGGAGGATTGGAGGATCACTTGAGCCCAGGAGTTTGAAATTATAGTGAGCTATGATCGTGCCACTGCACTCTAGCCTGGGCAACTCAGCAAGACCCTATCTCTAAAAATAAAATCAAATGGGCAAAAAACTTGAATAGACATTTCTCCAAATAAGATATACAAATGGCCATGAAGCACATGAAACGATGCTTGACATTATGAGTTAATGGAAAAATGAAAAAAAAAATCACAAAGACTTGCCACTTTACACCCACTATGGAAAATGACAATTATTGGTGAAAATGTGGAGAAATTGGAATCCTCAAGCATTACTGGTGGTAATCTGAAATGGTACAGCCACTGTGGAAAATAGTACTGTGGCCCTTTAATAAGTTAAACATAGACTTACCATACCACCCAGCAATTTCACTCCTGGGAATATCATGAAAGGAATTAAAATCAGGAGTTCAGACAAAAACTTGTTTACAAATATTTTTAGCAGCACTATTTCCAATAGCCAAAGGATGGAAAGAACTCCAGTGTTCATCAACTGGTAAATGGGTAAACAAAATGTGGTATGTGCCACGATAGACTATTATTCAGCCGTAAAAACTGAAGTACTGATACACATTACAACGTGGGTAAGCCTTGAAAACATTATGCAAAGTGAAAGAAGGCATACACAAAAGGCCACATATTGTATGATTTCATTCCTTTGAAATATCCAGAATAGGAAAATCCATAGAGACAGAAGGCAGATTTGTCGTCGTCAGGGGCTGGTAGGGAAGGAGTAGGGGGAAGAGACAAGATGGAATGAATGAACCTGCTCTCAGGTTTCCAGCTGCCTCAACTTGATGGAAAATGCTTGTGGGGGTTTTAAAACATGGCTTCAAAATATGCTGATACGCTCTCATTTATAGGCAACATCTTCGACCTCCCCATTAGCATCTGGGCTTTGTGACTGTTTAAGCAGTAAAATATAGCAGAAGTGATGTTGTGTCAGTTTCCAGGCTCTGGCCTTACAAAACTGTCAGCTTCCACTTGCTGACTCTTGGAATACTCACTCTTAGAACCCAGATGCCATGCTGTGAGGAAGCCCATGCTGCCCTATGGAGGTCCCTGTGGAGAGGAGTCAAGATGTCATGCCAAATTGACAGCCATGTGAGTGAGCCATCTCAGAAGTGGATCTTCCAGCTTTGTATCTGTGGACCTGGAGGCAGGCAGGATCTAACTATTAGCACACCCTCCACCGTGGCTCAGATCCAAGAAGAACCAATGACTGAGGTCCAGTTCCCCAGAAGCAGACCCTAAGACAAAGATCTGTGTGAAGATGATGTATTTAAAAAGAGCTCCCCCAAAAAAACCTAAGAGAATGAGGTAAGCAGAAAAAAGATTGGGAAGAAGCCAAGCTCACAGAGCGTAGCTTTCAGCAGGGCTATTCTGGAGTATAAGTTCCATATAGGGGTGTCCCAACAGCAGGCAAAGGAGCTAGGCTCTTACATTGGGTGAAGCCCTCCCAGCACCTGGTCTGATCTGCCCCCGTGGTCTCCCTTGGCTATTCCCGGTGTAACACGGACATGTTTCTCCAACTCCACTCCTGCAGCTTTGCGTGAATCTTTGTTTCTCATTTTCTTGATTCATCATCTTTGTTGGTTTTCACTTGGCAGCTGGCTAAGTGGAAGAGTCAAACATTCTGCCCTTGGCCTCAACCACTTGGCATCCTGGTTAGGGTTTATGTAAAGTTTTGAATTTTTTGATGCTAGTTGTATTTCTATAAATCCCTGGTTGGTGCTTTACAAAAAAAAAAAAAAAAGGTGAGAGATCAGGCCAGACCTTGGCTGGGAGGGGAATGCAAACTCCCAGGCACCTCAAAGCCACAAGACATGTGGAAGAGGCACAGAAAGGGTCAAAAGCATCCCAGCATATAGGACAGGGCACCAAGAGTGTCTACTACAACCAATTTGGGATATGGGGGAAGAAAGAATTTGGTGACATACACTCATCAAGTGTATTCAGTGCCCTTGCAATTTTGAAGAAGTCTGTGAAATCCCAAACTAGCCTAGACTTTCCACAGGTGGACAGATACTGGTGCCCAACCAGTAGGGCACTGGTCTTGCCATATAACCCTGGTCTCATTCCCCAGTCTTGGGGGAAAAAATGCAAACTGCCTTTGGGTCACGTCACGTCACCTCCACTGAGCCTGCTTCCAGTCCTTCCTGCCAACTCAGACCCCTCACTCATCAGCCATAATCGCCTCATAGGCCTCAGAGACACAATGGCCTGCAGCGTGGCCTGTCTGCTTGCTGAAAGTAGTATCTTATCTACCATTAGTAGATTAGTAGTTATCTTACCTACCATTAAGGGGCCCAGATTCATTCAATCCTTTTGGTCTTTCTTATGACACATATGCAAATAACCGCAGATTAAGGTAAACCTTACAAAAAGGAAATAAACATGAATATCATAAAATAAAGAAACCCAGTGCTGGGTGTCCATTCCTGGTAATCTGCTTGTCTTTACCATCCTGTTATAGAAATGCTATGCCTATATTTTTTCAGTAGGACCTACTATTACAGGAGCCAAATTCTCAGGCTAAAATAATAAAATATCACATTTTCTCAGATGCTTTGCCAGAGAGAAATTTTTCAGAAATCCACAGAGTAGGATTCAGCACATATTTCAAAACAGTTGAAGCA
The DNA here is from genome assembly GCF_000001405.40 of Homo sapiens. Taxonomy (NCBI): domain Eukaryota; kingdom Metazoa; phylum Chordata; class Mammalia; order Primates; family Hominidae; genus Homo; species Homo sapiens. The sequence continues at coordinate 92,562,382 of NC_000015.10, forward strand.
GTGAGACTGTGCAAGCAACAAACAAGACTTTAAATACACATCCATGAGTCCTTTTTTAAAGACGGGTCAAGTGCAGTAACATCTATGAATCTCAACTACTCCACTTTGCCCAGCAGTGTCTACTTGCTGCCCTGGGTGAGCAGTAACAGAAGAAATGCAGAGAAAGAAAGCAGTGTCTTTGGAGAGGATTGGAAAGCCAAGCTTGGCTTGGAAGACTTGTTGAAAGTTCCCTGTTCCTGCCCTGCTGCTTGGACACCCTGGAGAGGGAGATGGCGCCAGGGCTGGACCACAGGCAGGGCAAGGTGAGCTCCCAAGCTGGGAGGAAAGCAAGACAGATCTGGCAGAGCAGCCCCAAGGCTGGAGCTATCCAGAGGGACGCAGGAAAGTGGCGAGGGTTGGGCTTTTGCTCATAGGCCTGTCGGGGAAGGCAGCAGCAAAGCAGAAATTTCCAGGGCCTTAAGTGAGGCTAGCGGGCCTGCAGTCTCATGGGGGTTCTGGAGAGTGAAGCTGAGATGGCACAGGCGGAAGTGCCTGGGAGAAGGCCTCATACTCAGCACCCAAAAGAACCAGCACCCAGGACCTGTGTGCCACCACTCACCCTCTCACTGTTCCCACCCCCAATGTCTTGATGGGATATGTTGAGGCCCCCAGATTTCAGGTGCAAGTCCTGGGGAAGGAAAGATGGGGGATGAAAGCAAAAAGGTGCCAAATTCCAAGCATGCAAAAAACAAACAAACAGACAGACAGACAAAACTCAGATTGGCTGAATGATCTTGAATTAAGTTTCTACTATGGGATGAAATGAGAGTCCTGGATAGAAATGAAGTTACAGAAAGGATTTCATGCACACTGGGGCTTGGGGTTGAGAAATCTATACCCAGTTGGAGTACTTAGCCAGTGCCACGTAGATAATGAGCACCCAAATACAACAGACAATATTCTCCCCAAGGTCATGGTGTTTTGTCCTCCTCTAGTCTCCTTTAAAATAAATAAGCAAGGCTTTCCTTTTCCACAGACTTTTTGTTCTCCCTCACAATCTTCCCCCTCTCTCAAGGGGGAAAAAAATGTGCAAAGCACACCTCCTGTGTATTTTCCTCTCCTTCCTTTGGCTTCTGTCCAAGGCAACCCCAGGAGCTGGGGGTTAAGAGTTGCTACAACTGCTATCTTCTCAGCTGCCGGCCCACACTCTATCTGAGACGCTGGAGAAGCAGAGCCCACATGTCCTGCAGTGGAGTGAATTAATTGGGTCAGCCACTGCTGGGGCATCCTTCTTGCCATTGCCTCAAAGAAAGATCCTATGCCAGACTGGGCTTTTGGTGAGTGTTTGAACACAACCCTGAGGTCATTCCACCCTCCAACCATCAAAGACTCAGGAGCTGTATCTCCTGACATACACACACCCCATTCAAAGGAACACCTTAGCAACCCAGGGTTGTCAGGGAGCGGGAATGGTGGGGGTGGGGGCAGTTGTAACAGGTTGAGACCCAGGGGTTGGAACTTGAGGGTCACCTGCTCCACTATGTGCCCCACCCTCAGGAGCTGAGATACAAGGAGTCACTAGATGCAAATATACTAAACGCTGGATATCAATGAAAGGTTCCTTGCTAGTTTTAACGGCCCATCTAAGATCACAGCACTGACCCCAGTAAAACATTTAAGATGTATAAATGCAACACAGCATTTGTCCCGGGAAATAAAACACTAAAGATTACCTTATTCCTTGAAATATTAACTTTTAGAATAAGTGATGTCATTTTATTTATCATGGAGGTCAATTTGCCACTTCTCCTACTTTTCTTTAAAAAACCTGTTCATATACACTCTCCCATTCATTGCAAGAAATAACCAGTGAGATTGCTATGATGCGTTTTGCCTTTTAACAGATATTAAGTGTCTTGGCTGAAATCACCCAGCTGTCTAGGAAGGCGAAAACCACAGGCTGGGATGGACTCTCTAGAGTCAACAGGAAAGTGGAAGGGCCTCTACCAGAGATTTTGAAAGAAACAGGAAACAGTCCATTGCAGCTTTAAAATCTTGATTTTAAAAAACACCGGCTGGGCACAGTGGCTCACGCCTGTAATCCCAGCACTTTGGGAGGTCCAGGCGGGCAGATCATGAGGTCAAGAGACCATCCTGGCCAACACAGCAAAACCCGGTCTCTACTAAAAATACCAAAACTAGCTGGGCGTGGTGGCGGGCGCCTGTAGTCCGAGCTACTCAGGAGGCTGAGGCGGGAAAATCACTTGAACCCCGGAAACGGAGGTTGCAGTGAGCCAAGATTGTGCCACTGCACTCCAGCCTAGCAACAGAGCAAGACTCTGTCTTAAAAAAAAAAAAAAAAAAAAAAAAAACACCAGTGTGTTAGTTCATTTTGCATTGCCATAAAGGAATACCTGGGGCTGGGCAGTGTATAAAGAAAAGAAGTTTATTTGCGTCACCATTCTGCAGACCATGTAAGAAACACGGTGCCAGCATCTGCTTCTGCTGAGGCCTCAGGAAGCTACCATTTGTGGTGGAAGGTAAAGGGCGAGCAGGTGTGTCACATGGTGAGAGAGGGAGCAAGAGGGAAGGGAGGAAGTTCAAGCTCTTTAAACAACAGCTATCACATGAACTAATGGAGTGAGAACTCACTCACTACCATGAAGAGGTCACCAAGCCATTCATGGAGGATTCACCCCCATGATCCAAACATCTCCCACCAGGCCCCACCTCCAACATGAGGGATCAGATTTCAACATGTGATTTGGAGGGGACAAAAATCCAAACTATATTATTCCATTCCTTGCCCCCCAAATTCATGTCCTTCTCACATTGGAAAATACAGTCATCCTTCCCCAATAGTCTCCAAAAGTTCTAACTCATTCCAGCATCAACTCAAAAGTCCAAAGTCTCATCTGAGACTCAAGGCAATTCCCTTCCACCTATGAGCCCGTAAGATCAAAAACAAGTTGTTTACTCCCAATATATTGATACAATGGTGACACAGACATTGAGTGAATATTCCCATCCCAGAAGAGAGAAATTGGCCACAAGAAAGAGGCAACAAGCCTCTGCAAGTCTGAAACCCAGCAGGGAAGACATTAAATCTTAAAGCTTCAATATAATCTCCCTTGACCCCATGTCCCAAATCCTGGATACATGATTGTGTGGGATGGGCTCGCAAGGGCTTAGGCAGCCCTGCCTCTGTGCCTGCTTTGCAAGGTACAGCTGCTGTTCTTGCTCTCACAGGTTGGAGTTGAGTAACTGTGGCTTTTCTAGGCTAAGGTGCAAGTTGCTAGTGGTTCTACCATTCTGGAGTCTGGAGGGTAGTGGCCTCATTCCCACTGCTCCACTAGGTAGTGCCCTGGCGGGGGCTCTCTGTGGGGACTCCAACCCCACATTTTCCCTTGTAACTAACCTGGGATGTTCCCATCCTCTGGCTGGGATAAGGGAAGCAGCAACCCAAGGCAGCACCGAGTAGCAATGCCCCTGGCCTCGTCCCTGAAACCAGTCTGTCCTCTTAGGCCTCTGGGCTTGCGGTGGGAGGAGCAGCCTGGAAGATTTCTGAAGTGCCTTTGAGGCCTTTTTCTCATTGTCTTGACTAGTAGCACCTGCTTCCCTTTCTGTCATGCTAACCTCTCCAGCAAGTGGTTGTTCCTCATGCCTCTTGGATTCTTATCCTTTGGGTTCCTCTCCTGAAATGTTCTTTCCTTCTCTACCATGAGCCAGGCTGCAGATTTTCCAAGTTTTTACACTCTACTTCCCTTTAAATTGTAAGTCCCAACTTTAAGTCATTCCTTTGCCCCATATCTGATCTTAGATTGGTAGAAGCAGCCTTGCCACTTCTTGAATACTTGGCTGCATAGAAATTTTTTTTCCTCCAGATACCCTAAGTCATCACTCTGAAGCTCAGCCTTCCACAAAGCCCTAGGACATTGGCACAATGCAGCCAAGTTCTTTGCTAATGTGTGACGAGGGTGACCTGTGCTCCAGCTCCCAATAAGTTCTTCATTTTCATCTGAGACCTCATCAACCTGGCCTTCACTGCCCATATTTCTATGAGCATTTTGGTCATAATCATTTAACGAATCTCCAGTACATTCTGAGAAATAAAAATGAAATCCTAAGCCCTTCCCCCCACCCCAGACTACTGAATGGACCCCCCTGTTGGCCAAGGGGACCCCAAAAAAACCTTAAAACTGAGTCCCAGCCCTGATGCAATGGGAGGTCAAACATGCCTCATCAGAGCCCGTCCCTTGCTAACCACCGCTAGGCTTTCTTCTCTAAAGGCTAAGCAGGAACCAGCCCTTTCTCTTTTTAAAAATTAATTTATTTTACTTTAAGTTCTGGGATACATGTGTCGAGCGTGCAGGCTTGTTACATAGGAATACATGTGTCGTGGTGGTTTGCTGCACCTATCAACCTGACATCTACGTTTTCAGGCATTTGTCCTAATGCTCTCCCTCCCCTTTCCCCTCACCCCACAACAGGCTCCAGTGTGTGATGTTCCTCTCCCTGTGTCCATGTGTTGTCATTGCTGAACTCCCATTTTTGAGAAAATGTGGTGTTTGGTTTTCTGTTCCTGTGTTAGTTTGCTGAGGATGACGGTTTCCAGCTTCATCCATGTCCCTGCAAAGGACATGAACTTACTCTTTTTTATGGCTGCATAGTATGGTATACATGTGCCACATTTTCTTTATCCAGTCTATCACTGATGAGCATTTGGGTTGGAACCAGCCCTTTCAAAAGAGTCACCTCACCACTGATTTCAACCAACCACCTGATGCTGTCCCTCCCTTTTGCAGTTTCAACAGAACAACCAAGCAGCATTCCTTCCTGATAAGAGACCACCAACCACTGAGAGGTTCTAGTCAGTCTAGGGAGGCTGTGCACTGACTGACGGGTTTTGTGTCCACTGCTTCATCTTTTGAAGTCAGAGACCCAAAAACTGCCCCCTCACATCTTGCTAATACTACCATTTTTTTAACATGCGAACCCATGAAGGGGCTGGGAGGTCAACTGCACATGTGTTTCTTCTTTCGTAAATATTCATGGCTCCTCCTATAACTTGCTGAATATATATTTGGCCACCTCATTCAGCACAAATCCTTGTTTTATTCTTCTGACACTCCAAGTGCCTGTTTCTGGCTTCTGGCCAGAGGCTATGCTTCGCAGACACTCGGAATGGCCACCCTGCAGGCTGCAACCATTTATAAGAAATACAGCTCTCCTTTCCACATTTATGAACCTCATCATCCTTTGGTTGACAGTTTCAAAGTTTCCCTCATCTTCCTGTCTTCTTCTAAGCCCTCCACATTCTTCCAATATCTGCCAATTTACTCATTTCCAAAGCTGCTTCCACATATTCAGCTATCTTTATAGCAAAGCCCCACTCCTCAGTACCAATTTTCTGTTTGTCCATTTTGCATTGTTACAAATGAATACTTGAGGCTGGGTAATTTACAAAGAAAACAGGTTTATTGGCTCATGGTATGGCAGGCTGTGCAGGAAGCATAGTGTCGGCATCTGCTTTAGGTGGAGGCTTCAAGAAGCTTCCACTCATGATGGATGGCAAAGGGGAGCAGGTATATCACACAGTGAGAAGGGGGAGCAAGAGAGAAAGTTGGGGAGACGCCAGGCTCTTTAAAAAACCAGCTCTCCAGTGAACTAGTAGAGTGAGAGCTCATTCATTCCTGGTGAGCAGGGCACAAAGCCATTCTTGAGGGGTCCCCCGTCATGACCCAAACTCCTCCCATTAGACCCCATCCCCAAAATGGGGGATCAAATTCTCACATGAGATTTGGAGGGGACAAATGTCCCAACCATATTGGGAGCATCTCAGCTCCAAATAATACCAGACTACTAGAGGGAGGAACACTGTGGGGTCTTCATGCTAGCTGCTTTCCATTGACATTTTCCTGGCCTCCAGACCTAGAAACAACCAAAAATAACTTGGTGAATGTACTGAAGTTATTTATCAAACATTTACTGAGACCACAACATTGTAAAAAAGACAGGGCTTAACACTAGGTGTAGGTTAATGATACTGGAAGATTTTGTTTCAATGTACTATATTTCTAACATCTTTCCAGAATCGTCTGTCCCAAAACAGAAACCATCTTGTTTCCTAGGCATGCTATCAGAACGAGAAAATAACTAAATTTTTCTTCAAAAAATAATTGCAAAATCCACATTGATGTAATACATTTTTAAGAAGTGAAGTAAGAGATAAAAATAGCTAATATTTGAGGCCAACCACTGTTCAGTATATTGTACATCTATTAACTCATTCAATCTTCACAATAACCTGATGAGGAAGACAGTATTTCTATCCCCATTTTGCATATGAGGGAAGTAAGGGACAGAAGAGCTAAGGAGCTTGCCCAAGTCACACTTAAGAGGCAAAATAGAGACCCCCTCACCCCAGAAGCAGGCCTCCATGGTCTACGCCCTTAAACATTGACATCTCCTGCCCTTCACACATACCTCTGTTAATCAAAAGAATAGGTCCAACAATGACGACTTCACTTCCTAAGTGAGTCCATAGGTTTAAGGTAGTAACAGGCTACATTATAGACCTTAACAAATCATATTCAAATTCTTCTAGAGTAATAGTCAATTCGATATATCATATAACTTTAAAATAATGATGGGCCAGGCATGGTGGCTCGCGCCTGTAGTCCCAGCACTTTGGGAGCCCAAGGCGGGAGGAGCCCTTAAGCCCAGGAGTTTGAGACCAGCTCTGGCAACGTAGTGAAACCATCTCTTTACTTTTTTTTTTTTAATTAGCCAAGCATAGAGGCCCATGCCTAGCTACTCGGGAGGCTGAAGCAGGAGAATCACTTGAGCCCAGGAGTTTGAGGCTGCAGTGAGTTATGATCACACCACTGCACTCCAGCCTGGGCGACAGAGCCAGACCTTGTCTCCAGAAAAAAAAAAAAAAAGATGTCACACCACATTTTCAAACACAAACACATTACCTAGCAGTCATTATCAAAAGCCTGTGCTAACTGGATTAAAATCAGAAACCTAACTGGTGGTTTAGGACAGAAACCTAGAAACTGTGCTATGGACTGAATGTTTGTGCCTTCCCAGAATTCATACACTGAAGCTTAGTCTCTAATGTTATGGTATTAGGATGTGGGGCCTTTGGGAGGTGATTAGGTCGCGAAGGTAGAGCCCTCATGAATGGGATTAGTGCCATTTTATAAGGGATCCCAGAGAGCTCCCTCACCCTTTCCCCATTATGTGAGGATACAAGAAGTTAGCAGTCTGCAAACTGTGAGAGCCCTCACCAGAACCCGATCATGCAGGCACCCTGATCTCAGACTCACAGCCTCTAGAACTAGGAGAAAGAAATTTCTGTTGATTTTAAGCTACCTGATCTATGGTATTTGTTGTAGCAGCTTCAGTTGACTAAGACAAATGGATTCAATTTTGTCTTAAGTTCTTGGTTTCCGGTAAACCAGAAGTAACTTGATAATGCAGTGCTGACTGCTGGGATTTTTCAGCCAGGTCCTCTCCAGCTCCCAGAAATGCTGGACTGACTATGTATTTTTAGGGACTCTCCTTGCTCCAGAGCCTGAAGTACTTTCTATTTTCGTGGTCTAGTCTTCATTCCTCTCACAATAACACAGAGAGGTCGCCAGGGTCTCTCTAAGAAGCACAAACCTGGCCTAGTACAGATGAGCTCATCAGTCACTCAGGGGCCTCTTCTTCCCCAGACTCCCCAGGAATCATAAGCTTCTAGGATGGGCTCCCCAGAGCACTTCCCTTCTTATTTACCAGGAAGAAGGTCTTAGAGGCTGCTTCCCCATTCTTCTTTCAGGCCAAAAGCCTTACCTCTTGCCTCTGCTTCCATTTCTGCTAGGTTCTCTTATTCCATTCTGTACATGTCAGAAGCCGTCAGGAGCCTCAAGAGAAGAAGAAAGAGCCATGGTGAGTCGTTTTACATTTTCCAAATGAACAATGAATTCCTAAAAGAAAACCTCAACTTGCAGCCTTCCTGCCCCCAGGAACTCCTAGCAGAAGAGCCCAGGTCCCAACAAAATGCATGGCAGCTGCTGCCCAGCCTCTGAGAGAATTAAGAGGCATTAGAGCCCCACGTGGCCGCAGAACAACATCTTATCCAGCCATTCAACAGCCAGCAGGCTCCCCTTTTCATGATGCCCTTTCCGCTGTGCCCTAGGGGGCTCACCTCTTGCAGCCTTGACAGTGCAGTTCTTGCCAGGTCCCAGCAGGAACGAACTGGAAACCTCCTGGGTTTCCAGCAGCTGCTGTGCTTCTGAACTGACTCTTCCTTGGGGGTGGCAGGCGCACTGCCTCCTTGTCTACCGCTGTGGGTTTAGACAAAGTGCATTAGGCTTCTCTTCTCCCCCGGGCCAGCAGGGTTTTAGCCCTACCCACTTAGGGGTCATTTCCACAAAATAAATATCCCCCCGGCTGATAAATCCCCCCATTCTTCCTTGATACGGGGTCTCTCCGGAAACACAACAGCCTAGGTTTCTTCCTCTTTCCCACCCAACCTGCTCACTCACTTCCATCTCACACTGCCACCCCCACCCCCAGCACAGCCACCAGAACCACCAGTCCTCAGCTTCAACTGAGCCCCTGGGCTACTTCAGCATGTTCTCCTCACATCTGTACTCACATATATCTTCCTACAAGTTCCCTCGCCCTTTCACGGGCTGAAGCTCTGACTCTCTCAGAGAACATTAGCTATTGGTCAGGAATATTGTGCAAAAGACTTCACTTAATTGGAAAAGTATTCATTCTTGGTGGTCCCCAATGCCCCCAGGCCCTCAGCCATAGGATGTGGCTCTCACCTGGACAGTAGACACCTTGCTTCAATTTTCACTCTTCGCCCCTGGAAACCGTCGGCTGTTGGGGGTGAAAGGAAACTCCATAGTACTATACTGAGGTGACGTTTCCACCACCAACCATCTGCTTGGGCCCCTCTTAATTCTCCACCGGAGACTGGGGCTGCCTTCCTCAGGGATCCCAGCTATCTCTCAACACCTCGTCTTCCTCCAAGACTGGAGTCTTCGTGGAGTTCTGAGGAATTCACTTTCCAAGCAAGAAGGTTTTGGGTCCTCATGTCATCTTCCTCCAAGACTGGAGTCTTTGTGGAGTTTTGAGGAATTCACTTTCCAAGCAAGAAGGTTTTGGGTCCTCATGTCATCTTTCTCCAAGACTGGCATCATCTCGGAATTCTCAGGAATTCACTTTCCAAGCAAGAAGGTTTTGGGTCCTCATGTCATCTTCCTCCAAGACTGGCATCATCTCGGAATTCTGAGGAATTCACTTTCCAAGCAAGAAGGTCTTGGGTCCTTGTGTCTGGGGGACTCAATGCCCCCAGGAATCCTCCCTCCTCATCATGGGTTGCTCGTTGCAAGTGAAAGTCTCGTGCAGTAGGTTCCCTGTGCCTTCTTCTCTGGCCCTGACTTTGACAGGAGACCTCTTCTGGTGCCTTCTGGACCACCTGCTGCCTTACATCTGGGCTCCATACCAGAATCACCAGCATCCACTCAGAGGACACTGGGCAGCTATAACACTTGTTTTTTGCCGGGGCCAGTCCTAGTCCAATAGGGTTTCCAGGCACCCACAACAGCTGCCCAGGCAGCAAATGTCAGTCAGTTGTAAACCAGCCGGGTAAGACTCACACTTTGGCTTCCCTACATGGACTTCGTTTTGGGAGAAATTCCAGGATTTCAGACTCTCAGGGCCCATGGTCACTGAGCTCAATGTCCCCAATAGGTCACACCCTGCAGCTGCACCTCTAAGAGCTTGTGCTTCTGCCAAAACAATAAGCTTCTACTAGATGGGTCAGATCCGTTCTCTGACTTGATGCAATGGCCACTGTCCCTTCAGTCTGGCCCCTCAGCATCTGAGTCAGTGGGAATGTGATGGGCCCCATATGTAGAAGGAAGAACTGAAAGGAAGCACAGGAAGAACAGGAAGGAAGCAAAAGAAGGAAGGAAAGGAAGCCACCAGCTTCCTGCTGAGTCTTGATTAGGGCTCCTGGACAGATATTCTCCTCCTCCTGTTGCAAAAACTGTTGGAATTAACATAAAGCCTCTGAGCCCAAGCTTCCTCAAGTGTACAATGAGGATACTGGAGTCCGGAATCTCTGAGTGCTTCTCTGTGATGGACAGAACAATGCCCCGACAAAGATGCTCATGCCCTCCTCCCCAGAACCTGTGAATATGTCACGGTGCATGGCAAGGGGGGAATTAAAGTTGCCGGTGGAATTTAGGTTGCTAATAGGCTAACCCTAAGATGGGGAGATTAGCCTCGATTATCAGGGTGAGCTTACTGTCATCACAGGGACCCCTATAAGTGAGAGAGGGAGGCAAGAGAAGTAGTGTCAGAATTAGAGACGAATTTGCAGAAGCTGGCTTTTAAGATGGAGGAAGAGGCCATGAGCCGAAGGATGCCGGTGGCCCCTAGAAACAGGAAAAGGCAAGAAAAAGGTTCTCCTCTAGAGCCTCCTGAGGAGCACAGCCTTGCCAACACTTTGAACTTTGCCAGTAGTTTGAACTTCTGTCTTCCAGAACTGTGAGATAATAAATCTGTACTGTTTTAACTCATTTATCTTGTGGTAAACTTGTAACAGCCGCCGTAGGAAGCTAATTCACCCTCATCCCTCACATTCACACCACAATCTCCTTCTTCTCACCGGCATTCCATCTCCTCTGCCTCCCAAGTCACAGAGCCCCAGGTGCCACAATGGCTGTGGAGTCTGCGGTGCAACCTCATTGCAAATATTTGTATGCTCGGAAGAAAAACACGAGTACAATGTCCTATATTTACGAGGACCTTACTACTCTTAAATCGCTGTCGTTCAAAAACAAAACAATTTTTTTCAGCGTGTTCTTATACGCCCATTACTGAGCTGGTCCCTGGGGATGCAAAGACACATGGACCTCATTGTTTTCCTCCAGGAATTCACTTGGAAAAAGAAACACGGGAGATGCTGCCTAGAATCCTTGATGCCTCCGAAGTTAGACTGGAGTTGGATTAACCCGGCCTCTCTCTGTGGAAATAGGAGATGGCTAGAAGAGTGACATCAATCAGCCACAACTGCTTCAGCCTCATAACGTCGGAGCAATGGTATCAGACTTGATGCAGAGACTACCCGGGCATATGTGGCTTTTTTTTTTTTAAATGTAGTGAAAAATTCCAAGTCACAGCCACAACACTGAACTATCAAAAGATCATTTCATGTTTTGGTTTGTATTAAATGCTCTTTGCACTTTGCTTTTGTTAGAGATGGCTAGAAAATTCTAGAAATAAGGAGTGCTAGAGAAGAATCACTGCTTAAGAGCAGGATCTCAAAGAATACATCCTTTGCCCCCTATATCCTCTCCCCTTTCTGATTCTCAAAAAGACACTTCAAACTGATAGATAGTCTTTATGTAGATGAATGGGACAAACTCAAACGTGAGAGTTGATCCTTTTCTTTTTTTTTTTTTTTTTTTTTCTCCAGATCCTGAGGAATTGCCATTAGGACCTGGAAACAAATATGTTGCGTGGAAGACTTACTGACAAAGGAACTTTTACTGAAGTCCTCCTCTAGTGCTGAATAGTGACTGCTGAAATGGCCAGACTGGCAACATATCAGGAGGCAAACTGGCATTCCTATTAGATGGAATGTCCAAGAAACCATACTTTTTTAATGGGGTTGAGGATTGCCTGCTTCTATAAGAAGATAGGTATTTTCTGTATCTAGCCAGGTGAGACCACACATTTAGAGTTATAAGACAGATTGACAAGATCAGAACTACAATTACAAGCTATCCACAAACTGTTGCAGAGGCAGACAATGTTTTCTGGATGCTTTCCTTAGCCTGAGTTTCTGAACCTACTACTATATGAAGGAGTACTGCCAAGACCTAGCCAAAAAACAAAAACAAAAAAGGCCCTGGTGGCTTCAAAGATTTTGACATTGAAAACTTGTCCCAGTACCTGAAACATACAATGTCATGTGTCAGCAAGCTCAGCCTGGAGCCCACACCTTGGCCATCTGCCCAGAATTCTCACCCCAGTTCTCTAAAACTCTACTCTTTCTTCTCGGGTGGACTACTTTTTGATCCCAAAGGGCAATGTTAATGGGGCTTTGATGCAACTGAGACATAGTCCAAAAAAAAAAAAAAAGGATACAGAGTACACAACACAAGAACTCTTAGAGGACACCTACTTCCAGATAGAAGAACTAAGTTCCTCATGTGTCCCCATAGAGATGCAACATTTTAGAAGAGAGTTTGAAGACCCAGCTGCCAATGGTCAATCACTGTCACATCGGAGGAGCTAGCAAAAGACACTACTAACAATTATGGGAATAAAAACTTCCTTGTTACTTTAAAGTTTTCAGATCATCTGTTAAAGCTGATAAGGCCATTGGCATCTATTCTGTTCATTGTACTCTGTCTCCTCTTTTACTTCCCTCCCAGTCCCTATCCTTTGCCAACTATATTGTTTACCAATTGTCTCCCAAGGGGGATGGGAGCAGTGGTTTCCCCCACATATATCTTTACAACTTTTCTTACAGCACCTCTTGGCATCCAGCCTCCAGAATTTGCTTCTCCTGCAGTGATTCTGCTAGTTCACTCTTCCTTGGAAAGACCACTGCCTTTGACTCTCAAAGTGGCAACAAATTTCTCCTTTCCCCCCATTTCATCTCAGCACAGGGCTCTCCATCAGTTTTAGAGGGAGCTGCAGGCATGGAGCAATTCAGCATGCTCACACCAGCAGCAGCATACAAAATCATTGACCATGAAGCCACCTGTTCCGAACACCATTGTCAAAACCAAGGACCCAAAGAAGTATAGCACACAGGCTTGCCCCTGGGTAAAATGGAAATGGAAAATGGAAATGTCACCAGTAGAGGACAGCCACACTACAGACTGAGGAATGGTGCACCGTGTGGGCTAGGGTTGGTCTGTGGAGAGAGGTGAGCCCTTTGACATGGGCTGGCTAGAAACGTCCTCATGAACAAGGAAAGATATATGACACGGGTGTTCGAGAAAAAGAGCGTCTCAGCAATAGACAGAAGGAGGAAGGAGAAAAGAGCATCCACAGCATGTTCAACAACATAGAAGACCTTTCCCAGGGATGGTAGGGAGTGTGTAGGAGAAATGGAGAAATGGAATGTAGAAAAGATCATAGGGGCCAGACTATGGTGAGTCTCCATAAGTTGAGCTAAAGAGATAAGACTTTATTCTGTTGGCAGTGGGGAGTCCTTGAAGGGCTTGAAAGCAGGGGTGGGGTGGTTCCACTACAGGAAGGTTAAAAAAAATGACTCCCACAGGGTCCATGGCATGGACAGGTAGAAAGAGGAGTCCGAAGGCAGAGAGACCGCAATGGGCTGAATGGTTGCCCGAAATAATTCATGTCCACCCAGCACCTCAGAATGTAACCTTATTTGGAAATGGAGTCTCTGCTAATGTTCCCACTTAACATGCGGTCATACCGGATTGGGGTAGACTCTGAATCCAGTGGCTGGTGTCTTCCTAAGAAGAGAAGACATGCAAAGAAGAAAAGAATGGAAGCCTCCTTCATAGGCTCCTCCAGAAGGAACCAACCCTGCTGGCACCTTGATTTCAAACTTATGGCCTCCAGAACTGTGAGAGAATAAATTTTTGTTGTTTTAAGCCACCTAGTTTGTGGTCATCTTTCACAGCAGCCCTAGGGAATGAATGCAGAGGCTAATGAAGAATCCAGCTGGAGTGCAGGATGGGGAAATGTCACCTGGGCCCAAAACTATGCCTTGGATAAAACCGTATTTGAAAATCATAATCAACAGGAAATAATAGCTGGGGGACAAGCAAACTGTAAGAGCAAGGTATGGCTCTAAATTCACAGAGAGTGGACTGGAGCTGCTCATTTCACTCTGGTGCCAGCTCTCTAAGGTGAACGTCAAGGAAGCTTATGTTCCTTGTAGGTGCCCCTGAGGGGTAGGGCTGAAATTTGGATTCCCAAACTTGAGAGTCAGACTGGAAACAATCCAGGGAGACATCTTGCAACCCTAACCCAAAGACACGTGACTACGTATTGGAAGTCAAATTATCTTGTTTATTTCTCCTTTTTGTCCTACAGTTTTTAAGAAACTAAGTTGTCTAGAGACTTGCCCTGTCTACAGCAGTGCAGAAAAACCAAAGAGAAGGAGTTGGCCCTTGAGGCTGACGTGGTAAAAGCAGGAATTATTTACAGAAACCTAAAGCGTAGGTGAACGTTGAGGGAATATCCTGCTCTTCCCAATGTCCAGGTTCACCCTTCAGTGCAAACTTTCTAAAATCTGGCGTTTATGAATAAGGGAGCTCTTGGTGTCCCTTGCCCCACCTCTCAGCTGGGTGCACGAAAGCAGTCTTTATTCTCCCTTCCCCAAGCAGCACAGCCCAGTATCAGAGGACACAAGGACACAGGCTCCTACCCCAAACCTGTGCACGGGGCAAACTCTAAGAGAGAGGCGCATTTTGATCACCCAAGAGCATTCACCACCAGCACCCCCAACCCTATTCCAGGAACCCCTTTTAGTGCACCAGTAAGTTGTCAGAAAAAGATCACCATAGTCTCTTTGAGGGGGAAAAACAAAAATCCTGCGTGCGTGCCAATGGTCCCTCGACCTCAGGTTCTGAATCGTTCATGGCCTTCTTGCTTCTCATGGCCTGGGGCCCTCCCCCTTCCACCTGGGGGTTTCTGAAAAAATGAAGAATCCTGTCCCTGGGCTTTGCACCCACTGGCAATGCAGCCACCTCAAGCCACGCTAGATTGTCTCCTCTGCTCTTCTCACAGGTCAGCCCTCCCTGGGGGCTCAGAGCTGACCTCCCTGGAGCCATCACCTACTCTCCTATTTTTCCCCAAGATGCTACTTGCACCCTTTAAAAGTGCAGTTCGCAATGAGGATTAGAGGCCCTCACATGCACCTTTCACCCACTAAGTTGACACAGTTTGAGGAAGTGAATTTTAGTAACACAGGTGGAGGGCCTAGGTGGGGATACAAACATTCTCATGCATCGCTAGGGGATGTCAATCGATACAGCTTGTTTTGGAGGTAAAAATCTGATATTGGATTTTAGTTTGTCGTACCTTCTGACCCAGAAATTCTGCTTCTAAAAATCTATTCTAACAAAATGAAGTATGTATGCAAAGATTTAGCCAGAAGGACATTCATCATAACCTTATGTATAATAGCAAAATAAAACAGTAACATCCAAATACTCAAGACAGAAAGCTATTTTACTAAATATTGGAGAGGGAGACCCTGTCTCAAAAAAAATAAAATTAAAAAATAAATAAATGTCGGAACATTAATGCAATGGAATATGAACTAACTACTAAATTTGCTGCTTGTAAAGGAGTGTCAGTTGCCTCCAGGGAGCGAAAAAGAGTGAGCTCCAAGGCAGAAAATAAAAGGGGCAACCTTCCCCTGAATGCGCCTTTGCACCTGTTGGATTTCGAAGCATTTGAATCCCAGATACGAGATAGAGAGGTCAATAAAAGTTTAAAGGATATTTTGGAAGAAGAGTAGCATCGACAAGAGAAAGGTATTCATGAACTATTAAAGAGAAACAGATACGCTGCAAAATAATGCCCCGAGTGATACCATTTCTACTAAAACACAAAGCCGGAAGAAGTCCAGAAGGAAATTACTCTGAGGTTGAACAGGATATGTTTCTAATGGACGGAATTACAGAAGTTTTTTTTCTTCTTATATGTATTTTTCTAACTTTGCTACAAGGAACATGCCGTGTTTCGAGGAGAAAGAGGAGTAACAAATTTCAAATGCTCTAGTCGCAAAATGTGAGCTCGGCACTTTCTCTCTTTCCTGTCTCAGACAAACTCTTATGAGGAATGGAGACACTCACTCTCTTCCACTTCCTCATCACCCCCACCCAACTCCACCCAAAAAACTGCCTCCTCAGCCTGCTGAAGTCTAGCTTCCACCCCCGCTTCTCCTGTCCCCCAAACTCGTCTACCAAATAGCACACCATCCCCCTGACCATTGCCAAAGCCACCAATGTTTCCAGTCCTCCTCTCACTGGCCTCTGTGCCACATTTGTGTTCAGTGGATTTCACTAACATTAATTCAGCACCAAGCGTATGTCAAACATAGTGTTAGCCCTTAAGACTGGTCACTCCCCTCAGCAACCCGTTCATAGACTGGTGGGAGAGGAGAGAGTGGGTGAAGACCCCCAAAGCCTGTGAGGGACAGCCCTCTTCTTCAGCAGCATCACACTCCCCAGCCCTCCAGCCCCAGCCTCCTCTGCCCCTGTCTTGCTTCTCCACCTGCCCCTTATAATCTATCCTTAGGAATATGTCCCTGCCTACTGTTCCCCTCACCCTTCCGGCGCTATCTCATTGACTCTGGTTTAGGAAGCCTGTGAATGTTGATACCCAACCGCCCAGCCTGGCCAGGAGCAATGGACACCTCCACTTCCATCTCCCTTGAGGCCACAGAGACCGAATGTCATCAACATCCCTATCTCCCAACTCTGTTCCTTTTTTAGTTGGTGGCATCTACCCAAGGCCACCCAGAACCTGCAACCCCTTCCCTCCTCCCCACTAGCCCTCCTGCCCCTCTCCCACCCTCACTGGGGCTTTTCATCTCCTGCCTCATTCATTGCAGTGGCCACCTCTTGTGCCCCAACTCTTGACTTCACTTAGGTCTGTCTGTCCCCTGCACACTGCAGCCAGCAAGCTCCATCCAAAATGCCCATCTGGCCCTCTGGCTGTCCTTCTTCCCAGAAGAATTCACAGAATAAAATCCAGGCCCAACAAGCCTGTCATCCCTTGCCCATCATTCCTTCTGCAATCCTACCATCCACTGGTTTCCTCAATACTCAGTTCCCCCAGTGTCCTCACCCTTGCTATGTCACACGTCAGTGCCTTCCCCACGCTGGGGTCCCCATACCCACCCCACCCCTGGATTCCCCCACATCCCACTCTTGGCATGACTTAAGCGCTTTCTTCATCAGGATTCAGCTCAGGCTCTCCATGCTCCAAAACCTTCCCAAGGACAGGGGCCCTGGATGGGGAGCCCTCCTCTGTGATCCTGTCACTGCCAGAACAGAGCCCTGTTACACTGAGGTGACAAATGCATGTGTGCTTTTTCTCCAAATCAACTACCCGCCCCTCTAGAGCAGCCGTTCTGGATAATAAATCCCTGTAGGCCCAGCTCTCAGCACAAGACCTGACTGCTACTATCAAAGGAGGAGCCAGCAGAACGTTGGCCCAGGCAGTGGAGCTATTTCTTGCGTCTGAAAGCATGGCAGGCCCGGTGGGAGCTGTTCATAGATGTTCCTTTGCCCCTCTAGTAGCTGAGGTCCCGGACACCCCAGTTTCCAGGGCTGCTCCCGCGTGTCCCTCTGCCTGTGGCTCAGCCAGACGCAGCAAGGAGCCCAGACCAGGCTCTACTTCTCTTCCCAGGGGCCCAGAGTTGATCTGCAAGGCCTTGGTCTACCAGGAGAGTGGGGCTGGGGGTCTTCTGGCAGGAGATCCCCTCCAAGCCTGCCCAAACCTAACATGGGGGGTTGGCGAGCAGAGCACCAGAAGGGCCCTGAGTCCTGAACCTCCATTCTTAAAAGGCCTTAAACCATAGGCTCATCTCCAGTGAGGTCCCACCTGGCCAGGGTATTTTTCTGTGTGCTAAAAAGCAGAGCTTCTTTCCACCTCTAAAATGGTCTCAAGAGCTGATACAGGAGAGGCGGCAACACTGGGAAGCCTGGGGATGTCAAAGGTGGGGCAGTCTTTCCTCCAGCTCCCCTCCCCGTCCCTCCCACCTCCCGCTGCAAGGCGTCAGGACAGCAGGGCCCAGCAACCCTGTGAAGCAGAGCCAGGGGCTGCCAGAGGCCCGGCCCGCCAGAGCGAGAAGGTGAGGTGTGCGCCTCAGCCTTGGAGACATTAGTCTCCTCTCCCTGTTGCCATGCAAAGATAAAAACATTTATTAAATCCAGCACCTAAATCCCCACACAGCCCTGCCCCGTCTACGTAGGCTGCATGCACTCAGCCACCTGCCTGGAAGGACACGAGAGCCACGGCAAAGGACGAGCAAGAGCAGCAGGAAAGAGAAGGGCCACGGGAGGGCCGATGTCCCCCAGCCACAGACCCCCTCTGCTGGGCCTGCCTGGGCTCCCCCATCAGGTTTTTCTTCAGCTAAGGCAGAAAGAGCCTCTGGAAAATGAGAAGCAGTGACCGGGGGCTCTCACACGCGACTGTAGCTGCCCTGAAACTCTCGCTGGGAATTAAGCTATTAGGTTGATCCATCACATATTCACTGCGCATTTCTGGTATACTAGCTGCCAGGTCCCCACAGCGGGTCTGAATCCCAACAGCCTTGGAGCCTCATAGTCCACCTGGCTGCAGAACCTGGGCACCAACCGCTGAGAATCTTCAGGAGAGAAAATTCCGATGGCAGTTGAGAGCAACGGTGGAGCAGCGAAGCCCACAGGCAGCAGAGCACACAGACCTGGGAGGGGTGCAGAGGTGGCATCAGCGCTATGAGGGCGTGCAGGGGAAAGCTGATGGGAGGGAAAGGGTAAGCAGGGATCTGGGCTGGAGGCCTTCCAGAAAGAAGGGGACAAAGTCAGGAAGGAGAAGATGAGGCCACCCACTACCCAATGGCTCTAGAGGCAAATTCTGCCAGCCTGGGTGTCAGTTTGGAGGCTTGCCCAGTGTTGAAAACTCACAGCCTTTGAGCTAACCACCTCTCTCTTACCCCAAAGGCAGGAGTTACGGCTGCCTCTGGTGCTGAACGGTGGACACTGTGAATCAAGACCAAATTCGTGACAAACTCACACATTTTTAAAAGAAGCAAATCAGCAACTGCCAAGTCCAAAGGAGCTGGCCAAAGATAAGACCAAGGTGCGGGTGTGTAGAAGAGATGTCCGTGCACAGGTGTGCTTCCGCGTGGCCATCCAATTGTGGACATGGTGATGGTGCACTGAGCCCCAGAGAGCCTGCCAAACATTTCCCATTCAGGATGCCTTTGGGATCTCAGTAATGCTTTGCAGTGCCCCTAAACTAAAAGAAATAACTAGTAGTTCTGTTAATACATAGTTAGGTCCAAACAACTCAACACCTGGTATCTGACAGATGCCACTGTTGCCACTTTGAAATTTTTAAAATATTCTTTGGCAGTTCTGTGAGCTTGCTGCAGTGTCCTAGCGGCATATCAGTGCAAAATTTGAGAACCACAAACTGTGGATTAGGAACCCTGGTTGAGTACGGCACCCCTTACTCCCTACTACCAAAGTGAGAGATGGCAGACATGTTTGTCTCCAATTTTAATAGAGTAAAATTTGTTTAAAAGAGCCAATGGAGTTTCTGAGTTGCTTTATTTCTCCAGCTATATACTAACCAGCCTTCTCAGAAATCTTTGTCCATGAAGAATAATCTGACTCAAGTCCACGCTATGAAAATTGAATGACTGGCCTGGGCACAGTGGTTCATGCCTGTAATCCCAGCACTTTGGGAGGCCGAGACAGGCAGATCACCTGAGGTTGGGAGTTCGAGACCAGCCTGACCAACATGGAGAAATCCCGTCTCTACTAAAAATACAAAAATTAGCCAGGCATGGTGGCGCATGCCTGTAATCCCAGCTACTCGGGATGCTGAGGCAGGAGAATCGCTTGAACCCGGGAGGCGGAGGTTGCCGTGAGCCGAGATCGCGTCATTGCACTCCAGCCTGGTCAACAAGAGTGAAACTCCGTCAAAAAAAAAAAAAGAAAGTTGAATGATTGAAGGGTGCTTCCAAGGGGTTACGTTTTTTCCCCATAAACACAGAAGTTAAAGCTGCAAGATGCACCCCATTTTGTAGAAACAAATAGCAGTGAAGACCCATTTCAGATAGTTTCACTGAATCTCATCCAAGCCATCACTGTCCTCTATTCCCATGTGTCCTCTATTCCCATGTGTCTCTGTTTCCATGCTTTCCCTGACAAGATTAGAGCCTCGTAGAGGAGGCCAAAGTTTCTGGTCTCAATTCTTCCCAGAGCCCCTCACCCAGGCACAGTGCCAGCTAATGAACAAGTGTTCAGCAAGTGCTTGCAGAAACAGTTGTTGACGACACACCCCCTAGCCAATACCCTCAACTGTTTCGAAATGGTCGCTAATGGGCAGTCCCTGCTGCTTAAGAGTGTGCTCAGAGATCATGGCAATGACGATAACAAGGTACAGACGGTCTTTGCTCTCTCATATGAGCACAGGAGTGAATCCCTGAGTTGGGATCATTTCTTGTTATTCCCAAATGGCAATAAGTAAACTGAAATTCAAAGCAGTTGAGTCTCAGGTCTGAGAAGTAGCCTAGACTATTGACTTAGCCCTAGCTCTAACGTCAGAATCCATAACTTTTCTTTGCCCAGTTAATTTTCCTCCCCTCTTGGTGGTGTATTGAAGGCCAGAGAGATGCAGGTAGTCCTGAGAGGGAGAGGGAGGAGAATGAGAGAACAAGGGATGGGGGAGGGAAAGGGAGAGGGCTGACCATCAGTGGGGATAAAAGGGATTTTGAAAGAAGCAAAGAATAATGAAGGCTTTAGAAGCTGGAGCTTTCCTTTAACAGGAGAATCCTAATTTCAGTTATTTCTGCATGCTGTCCACACCACAGGAACAGACACCTTTGAACAGCACTCTTCCTGGATTCCACAGTGATTAACAAGGACAAATCATTCTGAAATCTTTAGGAAAATCACCCCTCTAAATTAAGCATGTAGTATATTCCAGGCAGTGTGCTAGATACTCTGTAATTTCTTAGTTAAAAAAAAAATGACATCTCCCTGTGTAGCACCCCTACCAGCCCAACTCAGGAATGGCTTCGGCAGTGCACCCCAGTAGTCAGTCAGTGCCCCGCCACCCAGCAGCACGCGGGAGCATCCTGTGTGTGTGCACACACATTCATATTCTTTCTCCTCTCTCAGCATTCTGGATGCTATTCTCAAATCCTCGGTGATTTGTGGAGCATCCGGCGAGGAATGATAAAAAGCCTTGCACTCTTTTTCTCAAACAAGAAAAGAACTTGCAGCTATCAGAGGTGACTGCTTTGAGGCATCCAGCAGGGCCTGCCTCTCCCCAGACCCCCGTGCTTTCCCTAATGATCTTCCAGGAAGAGGGTCCCCAAACCCGGCCCCTCTCAGTCTTCCAGGGGCTCTTGGATTTCATCCTTTAGCAAGGGCAAGTACTCAGCCCCGACCTCAAACAGCACCACGCCCCAGAAGACCGCTGACATTTGCTGACCAATTGCTGTTTTCTCATTGTACCTTAGCGCTATCCAGTTCTCCCAAGTTCTGCAGGGCTCTCTTTTAGCAATCTGCATGATTCAGAAGCTAACGTGAGGACCCAGAGCAGTGAAGAGCCATGGCATTTAGACAACCGGAATACACATAGGGGCCTCTAAAGAAGGTTTCCCACAACAGCCCTTCCCACCCAAGGACCAATGAGGTGCTCGCCTAATTCCGGGAGGGGCCCAAAAGGGCTGTCAGGTCCAGGAGGCCAAAACGGGCCAGAGCCTCAGTTCTGACTTTTCTCCACATGGGCTTGCTTCTTTCTGGCTCCTCCAGGGCCAGATGATCCTATCAGCAACGAGTTTGTCCAGGCTAATGTTAGTTGAACTTTCTTGACCACAAAATCACAGTAAGAAATACATTTAACAAACTTTGCATTGCCTCCCCACAGAGATATTTAGATACAATATAGGTATAGGCATAGGTATGGATAGATGTATATACACTGGGAAAAAAATACTTACCCTTTTTGTGATACCCTGAGATTTTTGTTTCTAATCTATTGTTTTACAACGCTGGCAGTAAACCACTAAGTTGATTTCACAACCCACTAATGGTGTGCGACCCACGGGATGAAACTCTGCTGTATGAAATAGGTGGTGTTTTCTTTGGCCTTACACTCCAGAAACAGTTTATTCTCCAGGGATACTAAGGAAAGTTCCAAATTTGAACTGATCCAAGAGGCTCCTCTCCACCTACCATGACTTCCAGCAGGCTAGCTGCTCAGCTGCGTAGGGAGGTTTTGCTCCCAGAAAAGCCTGGGGGAGATCAGGCTTGGCATGCACAGGGCTGAGCCCACATCCCTTTTCATAGCTGTCCTCTCTGTATGTGTTCCTAGTACTCTTCCATCCACTTACTCTCTCTCCTTGCGGTTTACAAGATTAAGGAGTGAATGTCAGCTGAGCTGAGAAGAGAATGGGCATGGAGAAGATGGCCCACGAGAGAGAAAGGGAAGGTTGAGTGCTGCTGTGTGGAGCTGGCACTGCCCCTGGGGACAGTGCCAGCCAGCCACCGCAACCTGCACAGACCTGGGGACCAGCCTTTGCCCACCTCTCCCCTGCCAGGCAGAGGGCCCCATCGTCTTTCAGATCCCACTCTTCTTTTCTCCACTCAGAAAACCTTTACCTAGCAGGGACCATCCCTGGCCCTGAGATTCAAGTGGAAGGTGGGTTGTCACCCACACCTCCAAATGGCTGGGGTCTGGGGACACTTGAGATGGCATTTGAGGAGGGTGAGATCCTGGGAATCACTTGAGGAGGGAGTCTTTTAGTTTGATCAAAGAAATTTGCTGTCCTCTGGCCCTCCCCACATCCTCGCCACCCCCTGGGGGAGCAGAATAGGAGAGAATACGAGGACCTGAAGGCAGGTGCACACCCGCACACACGTTCTTTGCTCCACCCTTCTCTGGATGATGAAAGTTGCTCTGTGTTGGCTTCAGGCATTCACTTAGCTTAAACGGATGATATTTGTTGTGTTGGGACATGATTTCCAGCACTGCCTGCTTCCTCACTGACCTGCAGCCAGGTCATCTGGCCCCTAGACTTGTCCTCGAAGCCTGTCTTGGTGCCACCAACATTCTGCACAGCGATCGTGATTCCCACTCAGGCCGCTCTGGGGCTGGGGCTGGGTTGCTATTCCCTGTGGATGAGTACAAAGAGCTTCCCTTCTCCCTCAAGAATACGAGGCGCCACTTCTCAGTGTCTTCTTTCCTCTCTCCGTTTCTCCCCGCTCACTTCATCTCAGCCCAGGTTTCTTTCCATCCAAAGTGGACATTGCTTTTGAGTATGCAGCCCTCCAGTTGAAGGTTAGAATTCTCGGGGGTCATAGGAGAATCTTAAACCCACAAGCCAGCAGCAAGCACCCCGTCTTCAGGCCCTTTGTGCAAAGCTGAGGCTTCAGGGAACCCCAAAACGCAATCCATGCCCTCAAGGAATTTACAGTGTCTTTGGAAAAAAGCACACATCTAGGCACACATACAAGGCAGCAAGAGGAAACTAACCCATTTGTAAGCTCTGTATAGAGGGCCTGGTAGGTAGGAGCATCTTCAGCTTCAGTCCAGGGGAGGGACCCCCAATTATGGAGAGGAAGTTAAGTTGGAATCTGAATGAAATCTGATTCTCAATGGGGGAACACCTTACCTAGCAGGTCAAAGGAGGTGGGGGTGCACTCAAAGTGTTTTGAAACAATTGAGTCAGTTTTTAGGCACGGAATTGGAAGGTGTGCAGAAGAAAGTGGGGTACAGAGCAGGAGGGAGCAGAGGCCTCGGAGGGTCTGGTCCTCCACCTCAGGTCACAGAGTTAGGACTTGTGGGCAACGGGAAGCTGTGGGAGGTTCTGTGAGCTGGGGAGCCCCAGGTGCTCCACGGTGAGGGGAGAATGGAAAGGACAAGAAGGCTGGAGCCTGGAAACAGGGAGGCCAGTCAGGAATCTGTGCAGACACCCCAGTGCCTGGCCCCCCACATCTGGCTGATCTGAAGGCCATGACATGAGAGTGCATGTGTGGGTGGACAACCCCCTGCAGAGGCTGGGGGAAGGATGTGTTGAGTGTGCTGGGGTCAAAGGTGACATTCAAGTTTCTGGTTTGGGAGAACTGGGCCCCATGACACAGTGAGGGTCAGACATTATTTGAGAGCACAGTCAAAAGAAATCCTTTACTGGAGCCCTGGGCCACGGCATTATAGGAAAATTCTTCATCCTTGACGGACTAGCACAGAAATCCCACCCAAGGGATGAATCTGCTTCTTTACTTATTTTTTCCTCCTCCCAACTCTTCCTCCTCTCTTCGGGCATCACAGAACTTGCCTCTGGAGCTCGGGCATCATTCTGCACTGCAAAATACTATTATTTCTCTCAGTTGACAGATTTGCAAGCAACCACCCCACATGCCTAGTGGCTTAGGCAGAGGTGGATCCACGCCTGACACAGCAGGGTCCGGTAGCTCACGGGGCACAGGGGAGGGGTGCTGCCTGGAGCCCCACTGGGCCCTGAACTGACTTGTCCTTGGGAAACAGCAAGGCCATTTCTCTTTCTGTAAGTATCAGCAGGAAGCCCCGCAGCTTCACTTCCTTGTGCTTCAAGCTGTCCTCCTTGATCAGTAGGTTGCTGAGAGCAACAGGGACCTCTGCAACAAAGTGTGTTATGCTCTGGAATGAGGCCAATCCTATTTCCCCATGGTCTGATCCTCTGCCTACTCTTGTTCCTCTCAACACACAAAACAAAGTCTTCTTTTGCTTACAGATCAAGGAACCACTCTTGGTGATCAGGTTTTCCTCTGAGGTGTCATTTCTAATCACACTGAACGGCGGAAGGTCCTTGGGTTTCTTTCCTGCTTTGTGTCTGCAGCATCTCAAAGCCCTCTGCCTCTGCCTCTGCCTCTGCCTCTGCCTCTGGAATAGCGTTTGCGGTGGGCACTTGGGACTTCTCTCCCAGCATTCTGGACCCCGGTACCACCTATGTGGGAGAGGAGGCTTTGTAGCAGTCAGCAAGGGTGGAAGCAGGTAGGGGCTGCTCCAAGCGATGATCTGAGAGGGGAAGTCCAGCCCAACCTCAGGGGGCTCTCCCCGCAGCCCAGCACATGTTCATTGGAGGGTAAAGTATTCTGTAGTAAGTCCTGCTGTCTTTCCTGCTGTACTTTGGCCTTAAGGCAAACCTCAGGTCTCCAAAGATAAGCCGCCCTCTGGTGATACTGGGTCTCAAGTCCTTCATGCCTAGGACTTCAGGGTTAAAATCTTCCTTTGCTCCATCAGGGGCTGGCAGGCAGGGCAAGCAGCCCTAGCCACAGAAGTCACCTTAGGCTGAGCCCGACTAGTCTCAGGGATAACCACCCCAGGCTACACCAGCTGTGAATGCTCGCTAGACCTAGCCTCATAAAGGCAGGGCAAAAAAAAAAAAACTAACAAAGCTCACATCCCCCTCACCCCACCCCCTGCAACCATAGTCGTCTCAGATCTAAAATGAGGTCTTTGGACTCCAGTGGGCTGTACATGACCCTCCAGCACTAGCAGTCCCACATTTTCCAGGGCCTTGTCAGCTGTTCCTTCTTCACCCCAATTCAATTTGTCCTGCCTCCTAAATATCAAGAAGGCAAGGAGGAGGCCACACAAAGAAGCCCAGCTCCATGTCCTGATGATCGCATCAAAATTGTGGTCACGTTTGCCAGAATAGAGGCTACGCGATGGCGCTAGAAGCCCTCCCACTCTGAGAGCACTTTTCATTCCCTAAACTTCAATTGAATGCATCTGGTGGGTACCTAGTACCAGCCCAGTGGATGCAACGTGGACACACCCACCCCCAGACACTCACAGCTCCGTAGAAGGAACAGGCTCTAAATTAGGTAGCCTTCACTGAAGAACTGGGGCCAGACCCAAGCCCCCGTGCTCTCCCACAGTAGCATGGGATGAAGGATTTTAAATCCACCGTGGGGCAAGGAAGGTTATGATGTTCCTCCTTGCTCAACTTGATAGTGTCTACACCCCGTTTGCTTTTATTTTATGCTTTGGAGCTTTCTCTGTTTTTGTTGTTGCTATTGTTTGAGGGTTTTTGTTTGCTTGTTTGTTTTGCTGTTTTTGGTGTGGAGGTGAATGGAATCTTTTGATTTTATGAAACTTTTAAAAATTTGGCTGATGTACACTTATTCTTCCTTCCTGGAACTGAGGTCAGGGGATTAGCCACCCCAGTCCATTTCCTGATGGGCACGTGGGATCCCAGCTCCAGGTGAAAGGGGCCGCCTTATCTGAGCAGCCCTTTCCTGGGGGTAGAGATGACGGGGCTCTCTGCACCGTGGAGACTGGGGGAAGACCTGAGAGACAGTGGCAGAAATGTCCACCCATTGGGGCCAGCGTGCACTCCAGGCTCTCCTAAGAAAGTGTTCATTTCTCCTTTTTTCTTTGCCCTCCTCCTCTGCAGCCAGCTTCCCTCCCAACAGAATACCAATACCAACCCAACTTTTTGGGCAACATTTTTAAGCCACAGCAACTGCTCATCTCACTCACCCTAACCTTCCTGCAGCCTGGGAGACCCTCACCTTTCTTCCTTTCTATCCACCTGTCCCAGTCATCTTGACAAAGAAGGCATAGAAACACTGGAGTCTAAAATGAACATGATATGTGTCAGCTGGAGGACCAATGTGGCAGTTCTTCCCACAGATGGACTTTTAACTTTGAGCATGTGCCAGCCTGAGCAGCCCAATGACCTAAAATATAATGGCCTCTCACAGCTCCCAGACATCACCTCACCAGCTGCTGTGGTCAGGATCTCTGTCCTTCCGCTGTGAGGTGAACCAGGCCCTCTTCCTGCCTGGTCCCAACCTTTGATGCCATATCCCTCCCAACCTTGCAACCTAAAAGGCTGACAGGTAGTTCTTTCCCCGAAATCTTACACACATTGACACACACTTCAGTCTCTTGTGCGTTAGTGAGGATAAAGTGATGAGCAAACAGACAGGATCCCTGTCCTCAGGAAACTAATAGTCTGGAGGGATGAGACAGACATTAATCAAGTAATCACCCAAAGCGGTATTAATTATGATAAGTGCTGGGAGGAAAATGCCCATGGTGATCTGAGATATTCCAGATCTCTAGAAGAAACTAGAGAAAGGGGCTCCAGAAAATTCTAGTTCTCTCTTTTCCAGCTGAATGTGATTCCTCAACAGCTGTGCTGGTTGGTGAATGATGGTTTCTTCCCAGCTGCCTTCCAAAACGTGAGATAATGGGGATCTCCTGCAAGTAACATTCAGGTTTACTCCATCCAAAAGCAGCCTTTAGGGTTGGGATGGTAACTGGGGTTTCCTGTGTCCCGAGACCGCTTCAAGATCCCACATCTGTGGCCTCCAGGCTAATGGGAAACGGAGCAACCACATGACAAGAACATCCAACAACCTTGCAGATGCAGAAAGCTTGGGTCCCTCGATTTTTATTCCATTTTTGGCCCTTCTCTGCCCTACATTTCTATGGCTTATTTTTGAAAAGGCCTAGCTGACTTTGACCCTAATTCTAAAAACTTTACTCACATTTTACCTGCCCCTGGCCCTTTACTAAGCTGGCTTGTGTCTTCTTCCCAGGCCTTCCTCTCTAAGTAGGAGGTGCTCAGAAATCCCTCCAGAGAGTTGAGGTCCAAAATGGTGTCCAATTTACAGCTTGTACACCCCTGTGACTGTACAACTAGAATTATTCCTACCTAATCTAAGGTTAATTTAGAACAAGAAGGCAATGCTCCCTGGGGTAGATCTAAGTGGGCATTTGCCCTGATATCCCCCAGCAGAATCTGTTGTGCAGCTTACCTGGGCCCCGGTCAGCTCACCACTCAGGATGCACTAAGCTCATCCATCTGAACGAAGCTGTCCTTCGTTCTTGCTGAACATCCTTTCTCCAGCGAAGGCCCTTGAGAAGTTCCTCATTGGACCAGGAAGTTTGACTTCCAGG
Source organism: Homo sapiens (assembly GCF_000001405.40). Taxonomy (NCBI): domain Eukaryota; kingdom Metazoa; phylum Chordata; class Mammalia; order Primates; family Hominidae; genus Homo; species Homo sapiens. The sequence goes on from NC_000015.10 coordinate 92,590,054, forward strand.
AATTTAATATAAGGCCCGATTTGCTTTGCCCTTCTCTGGCAGATTGGACTCCCGTGCGAAGACTGTGTTGATGCTTTCAAATGTCACAGGGAAAGAGGCCTGCATTCCAACAGCTTCTGTCTCCTTGTTGGGTCTCGCTGCTACATGGTGTTGCTGTTGAACACACACAACCCTGTGCAGTCCCCTGGACTCCTGCTCATCCAGCAGTGACGATTTTGCATGGCCCTGTGCAGGCCACAGGCTTCAAAGGAAGATGGTATTTTGACTTCCATGGCATTAAACTCAATACATGGTGCTCCCTTGAGCACACACACACACAGTTACTATTTCCAAAGCACATCCAGTATGCCTGTGTCACCGGGTTAGGGGGTTGCATCCATCTTTACCACATTTTGTACTAGAATCCCACCCTTTCATCCAACTTACACCTTCCTTGTACAGTAAGCCTGGGTCACCAGTCTTTTCTCAAGCTGTTATTTTGTGCCTTAATCTGGTCCACTCTTATCCATTCCAAAAGACTTTGGACCATTGGACACCAGGACCTAGGGGCTGGAGTCTTTCCCAGAAGACACTAGCTCCTATGTAAGTAGGCCCACCTCCTCATATAATTAGCTTTGCATTCAGGAGATTCAGGGCAAGTCTCAGAAGGTTCTGGAGCACTTTAAATCCATAAAATATAATGAGTGCTTACTCTGTTTCTGCATAACTAAGAGGGATGCTCAAGTGGGTTTTTCAAGGGAAGAAATTAGCTTATCTCAATTTAAAAATAAAATAAAATAAAACTGAAGTCAGCTATATTTACATTCCTTCTGTATGTTTGGTCCATTCTGTCTGCTTGGGGCCTGTGGTCTCCCTTTAGAGATCTTTTATTTACTCTGTATGTTCCATTAAAGAGTTTATTGCCTAAGCCAAAATTCTGAGATTTTTTTTTAACATAGGCAATGGGGCCCTCCATATTTGTAGTTGAAAAAGGACAATACTTTCCCATGGGCTGTTCTCCTGGAAACAGATTCTTAATGGAAACAAAAACCCTCAACCCTTGTATTCATGTACAGTATTGATAACATTCAATGCGGTACATGGCATAAATCTGAAAAAAACCAACCTCATTTCTACTCTGGGGCCACGATCATAGATTATATCCCATCTGGCTCCATTTCTCACTCTTTTTTAGGTGTTTGCAATAGTTGATTTGGATGATGAGGAAACTAAGTATGCCAAGCCGCAGTGGCCCTGTGTTGATTTGTCACAGACCCTCGACAGCAATCTCCAGGAAACAGTGAGGGGCAGGATTTTTTCTCTTGCTACCTAGCAAGTGATTGTGCCTTCTAATTAAACTCCTTGTGGCTGTTTCATAAGAACTCGAGTCCTAACCCCCTCCCCCACACCCCCAAAAATATTCCTGGTCAAAGAGTACCATGTCTTATCACAGTACTAATTATAAAAATCTCTTTGCCGTAAATAAACTTCAGATAAAATAAATCCTTGCTGGAGGACCAGAGTTTGTCCTGCAGACCCAGGGAGGAGAGTTGCACTGGGGAGAAGGAGAGATGGGGAGCAGGTAAATTACAGCTTTCACTTTTTATTATGTAGAGTCTCGTATTTAACATTTTTATAGTAAGCAGCTATTTTCATGCTTTTATAATTCTAAATTTTTTTAACTTTTAATGCCATTTCTTTCTTGATTACATCCAGTTATAGCTGTCTGGAGCTAATGTTGTATACGAGAACCAAGGATTTAAGTGTAGTGGTCTTAAGGACAATTGGCTTACTGTTTATTACTCCAAAGATAAATCTTTTAGGAATAACATGAGGCTGTAGCTTGCATTGAGTTTTGACTCCCATTGACAAGAAATGCTTTGAAATGTACTAAGATCAGTTCAGACCCCTGTATTGATGTATTCAGGAAGCCCATACTTTAACATCAAAGCAAAGGACATCAAAACTGTCTTTTATCAGATAAGATTTTCCAGTGGGGGTGAATAGGAGCATAGTCTAACACCCATTCATATTTGTTAGTGATTTGGAACCACTTTTAGATGAGCCAGATACAGTATAGATCCCCCATCACAGAGAAGTAGGGAGAGCTGAGTTCTGTTCTATGCAGATAACATGATTTCGTTGCCATAAATTAGAAATACTTTGATAGACAACTGGCCCTACTTCCAATCAGCTATTTTGAATTCTGGCCCCATAACTAATAGCCCTACACAGCATGTCAACACTTTTATTTACTGCAGTGACATTTTGAAAACATGTCTTTCTTTGAAGGATACAGGAAACTACTTTGCTCAAAGTTAATTGAGCATCTTATAATGATTTTCTGAAATGTGTTTGTAGGCTAAGAGGACATCTGGTTACACCTGTTCTCAGCATGATTCAGGCGAGAAGAAAAACCACTGTCAGCAGATACGTTTTAAAATGAGATATTGTGTTTGGTTTGGAAGAATCAAATAAAAAATTTAAACAGATTAAATTTAACCACACGTCACAGAAATGACTGAAGAATAGATCAAAGCTGCTTTCATAGTATAATATTTTTAATCGTGTGAGTTTTTGCACCAAAAAAAAACTGACATATTTTTATAATCTTTGTGGGGTTTTTTAACAGTAAGAATGATCGTGTGCGTTCCACATTTCCACATGTAACACGCTGCGCAAAGGAAGGCTTTTATTCCCACCTCCCTGAAATGCGCGTGTGCATTTTCCTTTTGAACACTGGTTTTTGAGGTACTGGAGACCTCTTGATGTAAGAGTTCTCCAAAATGTTCTTCAAACTAAGGCTTTTCATTAGATGAATGGAACTTGGAGATCTGGCAAGGATTATGCTGCAGCAAACCCATAGAATTATTTTCATGTCTGTGCTCTGCATTAACTTGTAATTCAACATCAGGATTACCTTTGCTTCTTATTTTTAACTAATGAGTCTGTTATGGGTCCAAAGCAAATAACAGAGGATGAGAGAAAAGAGTTCAAAGTGTTTAATGGTCAGAAGGCATCATGGCAACTGTCGCAATGGACTGAGAGCTAAGCCCCTGCGTGACTTGGCTCCTGAAGATGCTCACTGGGTGTTCTCCAGCTATACCCCTGCAGGTGCAGTCAATACACGCACAGAGCATCCACACTTTTCTTTCAAGGAGGATTGTCTAAAAATGCCTACTGAAGATTTTTTAAGTTAGATATTTACCTCCATTAATTCCTCCACGTGCCTCTCAGCGTTCATAAATCAACAGCTGAAAGATGTCTCCTAGAGTGCTAGGAAGGTACTAGGATGAGGACTTTGAAAGTTTCAAAGGGGCTTGTTTGGCATTGCTTTTTGTTGATTGGCTTGTTTAGGGGAAAATGTTGGCCCTGGCTGCTTCTGTGTGCTTTCTCAATTCCCTGTTCTTTCGACTTACGACCTCATTTCCTAAAGTTCAGGCCAACTCCGGCTGCACTGCATGTTAAAGCACCAGGGAATAAGAGCATCATGGACTAGTACTCCTGGGATTCATCAGGGACAATAAACTCACCCTAGCAAGAAAAGTGTGGGCATGCTCCTGACATACAGGACATCCTATTCATTTGGCACTCCCAAGATGACGTTGTTCAAGCTTTTGAAACCCATTGTTCATTTTGATTAACACAAAAATAACATACTACCCTTTGAAGTTTTTTGAAATTTCAAAATAAATTCAACCCATAACTCAGAAACAATTAAGGTAACAGGACTACACACTGACGACTTCTCAAACTCTACAATAGAAAGAAGGAAACAAAATGTTTGTTACTTACAGACTACATTATGATTATGCACCAAGATAATATAAAAGTACTGACTGTAAAATTCTTAGTATTCATAAAAATTAGGGAAGGGGTCAGATACAAGATAAAAATACAAAAATCTCCAAAATAAATACTGTTTCTATTCTAACAACAAGCAGAAAATATAGGGAGAAAAATGCATTCTTAAGAGTATTGGAAAAAAATATAAAGAACACTAATAAGAAATATCCAAGACCTATATTAAAAATGCAAACTTTTTACACAGATTAATTAAAGAGAATAGTCAATAGAGAGACATAACCTTGGGTTGCCATAATGAATGCAGCAATGCTATTAATCCTTGTTGTTAATCCTTGTAATTTTTCGGTGAAATGCAATCTGAATTAAATCCCAGTGGAATCTTTTTTTTTTCTTTGAATTTGATGAAAGTCCATCTGGAAGGGAAAAAAAGGATGAGAAGAGTTAAGAACTGCTTAAAGAATATCAAGGAGATACTGTCCCTAAGAGATATCTAACTGTATTATTCTTGATACAATAATTAAAACAGTGTGGTGCTGGTGGTACAAGATTCTGTAGATCATCCAATGAAGTAGAAACAGATAGTCCTGAGATCTATCATACATATTTTAAAAATTTAAATCTCAGAAAGGAATCACCAGGAAGAAATGGTTAATGGTTAAATTATCTGAAAGTAAAATTGGAAAATGTGGCTAAAAGGGGGGAAAATAATCAAGTTTGATCCCTCCCTCATACACTGAAATAAAACCCCAGTGTATTAAATGTAAAAAAAAGAATCCAAAAGTATCTAGAATAAAATACTGGCATATATTTAACTAGAGCCTGGATGAGCAAGAATTTTCTGAACATGAAGTAAATAAAAGTGATCTTAACAGAAGAGTGAGTTATTCTAAAACATCCAAACATCCTACATAAAATATAAAGAGAAGTGATAAATTGGTTAAAATATGAAAGAGAATGGAGAAAGAGTTAACAGGCTTAATGCCGCAAATCCTCTTAAAACATCAATAAAGAAAACAATCACGGGCAAACAGAGAACCCAGGCACACAATTCTTAGAAGTACAAGTATGTAACAAAATTCATGAGAAATGTTTGACATCAAGGTTAATCAGAAGAATGAAAACCAGCAAAATTAGACCATTTTCACAGTTCATAATTATATGTTTTAATTATATTTCCTGTTTATCAGGTGAAGTGGGGTGGGCATGGGAGAGCAAGGGCTATAGTTCTGGTCTGTTTTGAGAGAATCTGCCCCTGGGAAGCAGAGTTGACTGACAGCTCCAGCTATCCACCTCTTGGTGACCCCCCGCCAAAGCTTCAACATGACCAGGGTCCTCATAGCAGCCCACTCCTGCCTGTCACAGAATGGCCACCAGGCTTTGGTTTGGAGACTCCCTATCCCCTGCCCAAAGCTTTTAGAATCACACAGCAGTGGGAGACCCTTCCACAGGATCCTTTCCTTTCTTGCCTGCAGAAATGAGGGTCTGAGGCGCTCCTGCTAGTCCTGCCTCATCTCTCTTCATCTTTCACTGGCATTTCTCCCTAATTCCATTGCGTTGTGATGATGGGATTCATGCACCCTCATATGCTGCTAAGGAAAATGTAAATGAGCACAACGTTTCTGGAAACTATAAGTGATTGAATTATGACACTCCCTCATTCAATTGAATATTGGTGTGGTCAGTAAATATCAGGTTTGGGAAGAGCCCCAGCGAGGAAATTTCTCACATTATAGTCTTCAATGGATAAAGCAAGAAGCAAAACTACATCAATAACATGACATCAGCTTTAAAAACTATCACATGTAATAGACAGATCCACAGAAAAAAGAAGGGCAGCAAATTCACCAAGATTTATAGGACAGCTCCCTCCAAGGGTGCAACTGTGAATAATTTTTATGCTTCTGCTTATACTTTTCTGTATTTTCCACATTCTCTGCAAAAAAAAAGTATAAATTATTTCATAATCAGAAGATGTTGCTTTAAAAAAGTAAGATTAAACATAAGCCAAAACAAGAGGTAGCAAGAGTCCAGTGTGGGCCGAGCGGAAAGCGGGGCATTGAGGTGAAAGGAGGAGCCGTGCCTACCGGGGGAACTGGATATGCACAGGGCATGATCTGAACTGTCAGCGAAAATGAGGGCTTGTGAGAAAAATAGCAGGAAGTCCTAACAGAGAGCTTCAGGTCAGAACAGCAAAGAGCCTTCAGTGCCAAACTCACCGTGACAACCACCGAAGGTGGTTCTTTAGCGTCGTCAGTTGACCAACACTGCTTTCCCCATAGCTTTCCTCTGAATTCCCACATTAAAATATTCATCTAGAGAAAGGACCCACGCCCAAACCAGCCAGAAATACTTTGGATCTCAATGGCCGTGTTCGCTTGAACCTAATTCAGTGGGACAGCAGCTGTCTGGGAGACAGCCTCGGGCCGGAGCCAGCAGAAACACGGCCGCAGCACTGTCCTCACCTTCTAGACAGGGAGGTCAGACTTCCCCGGAAGAGGCTATTTCTCTGGATTTGTTTTTCCTCTGTTGCTTAATTTGTTTTTTCAGTTGTAAAAGAAGACATTTGGGAAAGATTCCATTTGCTTAAATTACACGCTGGTCACGCCTTCCAAGAACGTGACTCTGGATACTCGGCACATCGAGGGGTGCCCCTGTGTTGCCACTTTCTGGGATGTGCGGTGACCCTAAGATGTATTTTGAAGGTGGGGAGTCATGATAAGCAGAGTCAGCATAGATGCATTCCTGGGGTGCTAACCCCTCGAGAACTCTTTCTGGTAAAAGCACACCTGCTTCCCTCTCACATGGACAAGTGGGGCAGGGACCCATGACTCCCCATCAGTTCTTGAGAGAAGAGTGGCTGGGAATAGTTCCCATCTCCCCTTCTTCCGGTGAACACTGGGCCTGGAGAGACCTCTTCAGTTCAACCATGGGCAAAGACACAAGCAAAAATGAGAACAGAACACAAATCCCCGCCCCGACCTCGAAAAGCTGGAAGAACGTGCTTTTGGAAATGACCTTGAGCAATGTTTCTTAGCCATGTTTGAGCTTGTAGCTTGGGCAAATTATGACAGTTGATCTTCTAAAGAGGTTTCCATTTGGAAAAAATAATAACAAAGCCCTGGAATGCCTATGCTCAGAAGCCTACCAGTGCCACTGGGCTCCCTTGTTGTGCCTTTTTGGCTCTTAGGGAATCCTGCAGAGCCCACCTCCCTTGAGGACCTGCCTTTGTCTGCTCCTCTTTGCTTTTTACTCTTGTGTCTTATAACAAGCGACACCTGTCACTCTGAGACATAAACCATGTGAGGCCATGTGACCAAAGGTCCCACCTGGAGGAAACTTCCCTCCCCCTAGAGACACTATTCGCTGTCCAGGTAGGGCCTTCCTGGGCCACTGTGGATCTGACCTATCAGGAAGAGGGTCCCACAGTCCCCAAAGGCTGCCTGTTCCAATCTCCTTCCCTGCTAGGGACAAGGCAAAGAGAGAGAAGGAGGCCTGGGAAAGGGAGGGAGAGCAGGAGGGAGGTGGGCCAACCTCTCCTCTCCTCCTTTCTTTCAAGTATGAGTAGCAGGGCTATCTTCTTCCAGTCTATGCATCTTGGAAATTACAGGAGTTCTAGGGATAAATAAAAGCCCTTGGTACGTCATTCACTTTTACAACTAACCACTGAAGTCCTTTAAATTCAAGTTCTTAAAGGGCAGCCCTTCCCATCCAGGTACTTTTGGCAGGGCCTGCTGCAAGAAGTATTCAAAGCACAAGGCTTATGGTGGTCTCTCAGGTCCCAAAAGGCTGAGTCAAAGGCCCTTAAATCCTCAGGGAGGTGGGGAGACTACGTTTAGCTCAGGAGGCAGAAAAGTTCAACCCGTTCTTTGGGACCTTCCTCCCCACTCCCATTCTGTGCTCCACCCTCATTCCCTGAATACTTGGAATCAGCTGAGATGCTGTAATAGAACCACTTAGACGCTTTTTTTAACCAGGACCACAATAAGAAATACATCTTATGTGGGTACGCGTTGCACCTATTGGTGTACCTAGAGAGGAAATGTAAGTTTCACCAAACAATACTTACCCTGCTATGTGCCAGGCGTGCTGAAATTGTCTGTTCTCCTTTTATTCTCAATGGTGCAAGGCCTACTAAATTATTTCATACCTCACAGCTGGGTGGCAAGGAGAAATCTAAAAAGCACCCCCTTGGGAGATGGGTGGTGTCCCTGGGGCCCTCGGGCACTCTGTCAGCCTCTTCTTAGGTGTTAGAAATGGCCAGAACTAAGACATGTCATGATGGACTTGACTTCCTTCCCCGTTTCTCTATGGTGTGTCACAGTAAACACCCAGGGCTCTGGCAGAGCTGCTGCCAGGGAAGAGGGATCCCACACTGGAAAATGTGCTGCTGGAACTTGGGCCGTAAGAAAGGCACAAGTTGAACGGTCTCAGCAGAGAGTTCACGCTACAGAGGTCTCCAGAGTCTCACTTGCGCTTCTTCAGAATCTCACTTGTGCTTCTCCAGCGCTCACCCTGATTACCCCCTGTCAGTTCTCAGGTTGAGGGGGCAAAATCTCATAGCCCACCGGGATGGGGGGTGCCTGTAGGAAAGACATTAGGAGAGGAGGGAATTTCCCAGGGAACCTGCTATGAGGCATGCGGCTTGTTTCCCTATTTCCTATCCAGGTCTGTAGTCAATTTGCACAGTAGAACTGTCTTTTCTAAGCCTTCGCCTTGCCCCGCATCATCCTCCCTGCTGAAGAAACACTTTACACCTCATAAAACAATTGCTCAGGAATTCTGGGCTCCCAGAGAGACCCTGAGTTTCAAATAGAGATGAGCTTGGCACTCACTCCATGAATGACTGGAGTGTAGGGGCAGCTGGGAGTCCTTTAAGTTCCAGCTTGAAGAGAGTGAGCCGGAGCTCATCTCACACTCGTTCACCTCAGACACAAGAAATGAATGATGCCCTCTCCCCATCCCACCCTTTACTCTCTCTGGGCAAGAAGCACTGTCTGCAAGGCCCCTGGGGGGAAGAAGCAGGGAAAGTAGGTGAGGTGGCCCAAAGCCCTCCACAAGTCCTGCTTTCCTCGCTTGGCCTTGCTCCCCCATCTCCTTGGGAAGCTGTTGTCCTATCCATTGAGCTGAGTGTTTCCAGTAAGAACACTGTCAGCCTCTAGCAGCATCCCTCCAACTGCCAGCACCCTGCCATTGCCCAGACAGTCTAAGGCCCCAGGGTGTGGCCAATTCAGATATGATCCAGCTACGGTGGGGTTCACTGATGCTGAGTGTAGTTGGGAGCCCTTCCTCTTGTTGTTCTCTCCTGCTGCTGAGTCTCCTCTTCTGCTCCTAGCCACCAGTAAGAGAGGTTTTATCAATCCCCACCGTCCAACAATTACATTCATCTGCATCTCCGGCTCAAGTCACTGCAGAGTCTCCCAGATTCTCACAAGACTGCCATTGTCCAGAAATGTGTACAGAATGCTCACTGCACCACGTTCAAGCCTGAGAAAGTCCCAAATGCTCAAGGAGTATACAACATCACAGAGAAGACATGATTAATATTGAACAAACATATGCAATAATCCAGGCAATGGATAAGTGCCCACAAGTGACCTAGAGAGAGGGTGAGATGACTGGGGTGGTCTGCACAAGGTGAAATAAGAGCTCAAGGGCAGTGGCAGGACATGAGAGTCCAAACACAATCAACAGATACCAGCGAGTCAGGACTGCAGGGTTTGCCTGAGAAAGTTATAGTGGGGGTATGGAGAGGGTGTGTAGAAATGGGATGGATGGGAGAAGTTAAGCCAACCAAGCTTAAAAGAAAGCCTATTCAGGAGGTAGGCAATTAGGACGTGGAAAAGCCTTCTAAAGTCACGTGTGGGTTGATGTTGGCTTGTCTCCAGAATGACAAAAAGTAGTTATCCTTCTAGAAATGCAACCACAGCCAACTGGAAGCAGCAGTTATGATTCAAGCAGTAACTGTGGTTTTTAGAGATCCTGTAACATCATCAGTGACGTAGCCCCTTCTGTGAGGCACAATCTCAGCCTCACAGGGCCACAAAGAACAAGTTTCCCCATGCAGGCAGCTTCTCTGGATTTATTTTCTCCTTCTTCTGTATCATCATTTTTTATCAAGTGGCAAAGAATGTATTTGAAAGAAGAGACCCTTCCTGCTTTCCTTCCACTGATTGATGCTTAGTATTCCTAGATCAGAAAGTCAGCCGAGATACATGATGGGGGCAGGGAGCAATCCAGCAGGAAGGCCAGGGCTTATCCTGGGTTGGCCACTGGATGCGTTCACAATTAAGGTCTCTTCCAAATCCAAGAACCTGAGTCTCTCTACTTCCACCCAAATTTTCCTCCATTTCCAAGGTGGCTAGGTACACTCCCCCACTTCCCAGTCAGGATGTTTGAGTGTGTCTGACTATGTTCTTTCCCATGTGAGCAGAAGAGGTGCACGCCACTTCCAAGTGGCCATAAGACCTCCCAGATGTTCTCCTCTGTGTTCTTCCCCAGGTCCCATGAGCTATACTGATAATGACAATGGTGATAGCAACTTTGGAAGCCAGTTAATATTGGAATATGGCAAAGCCACTATCAGCCTGTTTCCTGAGGGAACGCATAGAGCCGAACTTTCTCCCTGCGCCTACTCCAACAATCTGGAATGTCTGCCTTGGAATATTATGTGAGAAAGAAATAAACATCTCTTGTGTTTGAACCATTATATTTTGGGTCTATTTGTTACCACAGTTTGGTCCACCCTGACATAATCTCAAAGAACTGAGTTTTCTTCTATCAGTCAACTGAGTGACTAGACACCCAAGCACTTACAATTCTGAGTACTAATAACTGAGGGAAAGAGAGAATAAGGTGGAAATGCAAACGAAGGTAACATATTGGTAAACTTCCTCCAAACTCTTTTGGAGGTGTCAGCCTCTGCTATGTGTATCTCCATTTGAATTTGAAGACAGATTTGGAAATTCTAAGGAGGTATCTGAGGATACAATTTAATTCACAAAAACTTACGGAGAGTGTCCTAAGTAGTCCAGCTACTGGAAAGGGATGGGATACGAATGCTGGAGAAGAACCCAGCCCTTGCCCTAATGAATTCAGCACATGGTAGAGAGATACATATCAGCAGTTTATTGTAGGACACGGCCCTCTCTTCCTGTTTGGCTCAGCTGTGTCTCAGCTCTGGGCATACCTTGTTTGATTCTGACTGAAATCGTGAACAGAAGTCTTCTTATCTCAGAGCAGGGCTTCAGGACACCCTCAGCCTCACACTGGTCTTAATATTGTGTTTACCAAAGAGCCAGATGCATGTTTCCAGTGACCTTCTAGAAACAATAGTCCTCTTTATTGGACTCCACAAAAGCAATCAAATACAGTGACCAAACCAGTTCTTGCCTGCCAAGATCCTTGGAGAATACCACCATGCTAATGTGGTATAAGAAAGATAAAAACAAAGAGGTTCTAGAAGAGATGATGCTTTTCCTCCACCTTTAGAATTCTCCTTCCAGAGGGGAACTGGGTCTTAGAAAGAAAACTACTGTTGTCAGCCCAGCACCAGCCATGACTGGCAGAAATGCTACCTGGGCTGGAGAAAGACACTTCCTTCAGTCAGCTGCTAAGGCATCCTTGTGAACCCCATAGGATGTTTCCAGAGCTTACATTTTAAAACACAAGTAAAGTGTGTGTTGGCAGGCAGCAAATTGTCGAACCTGATCTATAGCCTCTCTGCATTCCTGTTAAAATAATCCCCAAAAATAGCCACACCTGGGGGACCCCCACTGCTTTATTCATGGGGGTAGGTGGAGAAGCATGGCCCTCAAGACACACAAGCTGCCCTCTTGTCTAGAAGAGGACATCTTGCCTCAAGGAAGGCATGAAATCGCCCTTGCCTCACCCATCTACCTCTAATGCTGAGGCACAAGGGCTTCACTAGAACTGAGGCAGCCCCTCCCTGCTCCCTGGGGAAGTGATAAATTGCAATCATGCAAATATGTTATGCATCCCATTTCTTAATCTGTGTAAGAGAAAGAGAATGCAAATGAATGTATCCAGAAGATATTGTGCCTGGATCAAGTGTTTTTTCAATCTCTGTACTCCTGTGAAGTTAGACAGACATCTAAACCCCAGCAAAGTCATTACCTGGTCTCAGATCCTAACATTCCAGCTAAATGACCTTCTGCTGTAGTTCCCTTAGCTGACATTTTGGCCCACCCAGGCAATAAGCCACAGGCCCCTCTGAACATCTAGAGAGACCCACCCGTCACCCTCCACCAGCATTCTTCCCCTGATGGAAGCCTTGTGGGCCCCAACACTGAGCTCTGGTTTGCTATGCAACCCGCCTCACCCTGCAGGTGTAAACTTGGCAGAGGGATCTGCCCACTCCCAGAAGGCTAGTGATAGAAGCTAAAGAAACTCCATGGACCTTGGGCTGTTGGAAAATACGAGTCCTGGAGAGAAAATCTTCCTTGCACAAAAGCAAGTAAACCTGGCAGGCAGTTGTGGAATCTGTAGTACTAGCAGAGCAAACTCTTATCCTGATGACTTAGGTGGGTGAAAGATTTCTAAACATATCCTCATGCAGGAAAACATTCCTGAGAATGTGAAATCCACATGGGCGGGCTTTTTCTTTCTGTCTGTTTTGGAGGCTGGTATGTCCTCAGTGCCCAGAATAGGACTTGGCACCTAGCAGGTGCTCAGTAAATATTTGTGAAATGAATGAATAAGTGAATAGATAGATTTCTTACAAACTGACAGAAGACCTGTGGAATTATGAAGTTAAAGGGGATGCTTCTTCCTGGAAGCCATATGAAGGCCAGAGGAGACACATGGAACTCCACTCAGCCTTCGCAAGCTCAGAAGCCTGATTTTCTTTGGCATCCAAAAATGGTAAAAGTCTAAGGCCAAGGTAATCGTTACAAAAGAAAGAAAGACTTCTGTCCCACAGGCCATCAGCATGGTCTGCAGAGGGGCCTCCCTGGTGCTTGACCCCCCCGCTCTCTGATCCTCTGAGTTCTGCAGGCCACTCTGGCACTCGTGACTCTTCCTCTCTCTTTCTGGGCTGTCCCTATCTGCCAAGCCCCTCAAGAAATATGGACTCCGTGGCAGATGAATGTAGATGCCGGTTCTGGAGGCTCTTCTGGGTAGACCAGAAGCACCCACCTCCTCCGCTCACACCCTAGGGCACAGCCACCTTCCCCTCTGCCCTTTCCCCTCCCCCAGGCTCTGCTGCACTCCACTTTCCCCAGCCTGGCAAGAAGCCCCACCACAAGGAAAGGTGGAGAAAAGTAGCTAAGATTTCCCCTTCTCGAAATGGCCCACAACGCCATTGGAACTATCCTCTGAGGACAGTTATGAAAGCAGGGTGGGATATTGAAAATAAATAAATAAATAAATGCCAGGCGCGGTGGCTCATGCCTGTAATCCCAGCACTTTGGGAGGCTGAGACAGGAGGATCGCTTGAGCACAGGAGCCTGGGCAACAAAGCAAAGCCACATTTCTCAAAAGAAAAAAAAAAAAAGAACAGTCTTCTTAAAGACATCTAAGAGATAACAAGAATAACAAGACAGTGAAGAATGACAGGGCAGAGTCAGTCACAGAGAAGAGAATGCAGGACAGTAAGCCCAGCGCTCAAAGCCACTGTCGCCTTGAGGCCACTGGTGGATCCAAATGAATGTGCTCATAAATGCACTGCCTGTCTGATGGCTCACAGACAAAAGTCACGGCCCAGCGCCACCAAAGTTGGGGACCCAAATAGGTCCCCTCATCTCCTTTACACTAACTCTGAAGGGCTATACTCTCAGAATAAGGGTGAGCCTGAAGTAAACCAACCCTCCATGGACTTGGAACTTAGCTTCATGTTGTCAGGTTGATCCAGGGAAACTCAAGCTGTGAACTTGGATTATGGTGTCCCAGGCTGGTACTGCCAGCAGCATCTGTCAGAAGAAGAAAAAAGTCTCTGTAAAAATGATAGCAGCATCCCAGGCTTCAAATTATTCCTACGAAGAAAGAGCCATACTCTAAGCCCTTCCCCACAAGAAACTCTGGCAGGTCACTGCCCCAAAAAGACTTATGGAAGTTGTCCCACAAGGATGGTGTAATACTGTGTGACTCATGAGGCTGGAACAAATGCAATCCCTCCCCAAACTTCAGGTAGCCCTCACTGTCTATTTTTCTGGGTTGAACTTGAATCCAGCTGCGGGTTCTCTATGAAATCAGTTGTTTCCATGCCAGAAGCCTCTTCCTGCTAAGTGAAATAAGCAAAAAATACAAATTAGAACCATTAAAACTCATCATCTTTCCTGCCCGCATTTCTTTCCAAGAAGCTTTAAGAATCTCTTAGCAATCATTTAGTCCAGTCCCAGAGAGGGTATCTAGCCCTGGGGAATTGGCTCCAGGCTCTTTGTTAGTAAGGTTTCCCTCATGATGGACTTGGGACACATATCACCTGTTGGCCATTTCTCCTGAGCCTCCCTCCTGGTCATCCCTGGCCCCACCCACATCCCTTCCTGTCCCTATGAATTTGATTCAGTACTGACTACGGCCTGAGCTTGTGGGTTACACTGGGCAATCCCTCCATTGTCCCTTAGAGCTCTCGGCACAACCACAAGATTTTTATTTGCCTGATGTCTGTCTTTTGGTTAGTATTGTAGCAGGAACAGCCGCAGACAAAACTCCTCAGACACCGAGTTAAAGAAGGAAGGGGTTTCTTCGGCTGGGAGCTTTATCAAGACTCCTGTCTCAAGGGCCGAGCTCCCCGAGTGAGCAATTCCTGTCCCTTTTAAGGGCTCACAACTCTAAGGGGGTCCACATGAGAGGGTCGTGATCAAGCAGGGGGTATGTGACTGGGGGATGCATACACGGGTAATTAGAACAGAACAGGACAGGGATCTTCACAGCGCTTTTTTATGCAAATAACCAATTAGGTCAGGGGTCCATCTTTAGCTACCAGGCACAGGGTGTGGTGCCAGGCTGTCTGCTTGTGGATTTCATTTCTGCCTTTTAGTTTTTACTTCTTTCTTTGGAGGCAGAAATTGGGCATAAGACAATATGAGGGGTGGTCTCTTGATTTAAGGGAGGACCCTTAGTATAACCGCCATGGAAGCAGAAACCAAGTCTGTCTTGTCCACTGGTGTGTTCCCAGTTTCTAGAATTGTTCCTGGCACAGAGTAGGACTCAGACACACATTTTTGAATGAATGAATGAAACTTGGGACAGGCAGCCCCAGGGCTTCCCCCTACCATATCTGCAGGGATGGACTTCCCTTTCCTCCAGCGATCCTGGGAGCCCCTCTCCTTATCTGGCTGTGTTTTCATCTTCTTGTGTGTCCTCCTTTTGTAGGAGATTTTTCAGGCACCTGAGCCATCTGGCACTTTTAGAGTACTCTTAAAGAGGTAGCAGACTCTACCTTCCTCTCAAAAAAAGCTCCCAGAGTGACTTAGCGGTGGGCCCTCATACTACCATCATTGTCCCTATCAAAAGTGGTCACTGCCCCACTGCCCAAGTGCAAGACGTAAGGCTTGGCACAAAGAGAATTAACAGTCCGGTCTGGGCCCATCCTGAAACTGGACCACCCCAGGAAAGGCTGAACCAGGGAGCCATGGAGTGATGTCGCACAGGCATAACCAAGTACATGGGGCATGCCTGAATAGCTGGTGCCTTCTTAAAGAATGCTATTTGCTTGGGTGGGGGTGGGAGAGTTTGACCAGAGCATACGGCAGAAGGTGAGGTCCCACAGTTCTAATGCTATCTATTCCAAGGCTCAGAGGAGAGGGTGAACTAAACTGCATGAGACAAGCAGACGGATTTTGATTTTTCTTTTTTGGGGGGCGGGGAGGGTACAGAGGGTTGGCTTGGGAGAAGGGGTGGGAGGAGTCATTGAGTGAGAGGTCGAAGAGTGTGAGCAAAAAGAGCCACGGCAGCAAAAGTTTGAGGCCGGATGCCAACCTGGGGCTAAGAGAACATTCCAGTGGCAAGGGGGCAGGAAGAATGTTTTTAAAAATACTTGTGTGTGCGCGTATGTTTGCCATATACAAGGCTGGGTTTCTCCAGAAAATCCCCAGTTCTCCACAATACCAAAACACGACCCCTAAGTATTTCGTGTAGTTGAGTTTTGACTGCATCTTACACCCAGATGATGGGGTAAACGAGCAGACAGATGTACAGAAGGCAGAAACCAGGAGGCTGTGACGGCCACGCAGTCACAAGCCTCTGAGGAAAGCATGCAAAGTGGAATTGCATCTGAATTCCCCAGACCTTAAATCCCAAGGGAGCCTGGCACCCAATAGGCAATGTCACCACTTAAAAGTGGAACTTGATTTGGAAGCTGAAATGGACCTTGGCTGGAAAGATCCATGCATTGGGAGATCAGAGGGGGAAGCATGGCGCGTTCAGGATGAATTGAAGAAGTTAGCTAGGCAGAAATGCAATGGCTGTGCCGGAAACCAGTGCAGGAAGAGGCAAGAAGAGCCGGGAGCAGGGTTCAGAGAACCGCAAAGCTAAGTTAAAGAGTTTGGACTTTCAACCTGTTGGCAATTGGGAACCACCAAAGGTTTGTTTGACCTGGGCCAAATTAGTGCTTGAGAAAAATGCCCCCAAAGAGGTGTCTGAGGGGCCCTAGAGCAGAGCAAAGAGTGCCTAGAGGCCAAGAGACCAGTTAGGAAACTGCAGGATCTCAGGGCCTGGACAGAAACAGGGGCTGTCGGGGGGAAAGGAAGGACCAAGACTTGGAATGGCTGGAGAAGTGATGGGAACCTGTGAGCCTCTCACTGCGGAAGGAGAGGAGAGGAGAGGACAGGCAAAATCCTGAATCAAAGATGATGCAAATGATGCTGGGAGGAGATTGGAGGGCTGGGGAGCCCTGGAGAGAAGCAGGCGGGGCTTGGGGTATGTCAGCTGGTAGGGAAATCTGCCAGAAAAGCCCTTTGGGAAGAGAGGCAGGAGGATCTCTTGACTTCCACGCTGCTTTTCTAGAGTGCAAATTTCCTCTGTCCTCTCAAGTGTTCAGAAGTGCCATGCCTTGTTGCTTTGGGCTAAGAGAGGTCTCTGTGTGTCTCATTGGACAGTGATATGGGGCACACGAAAATGCTCCCTCGGAGGTGGCGGGGTCAGCCCCCCGCCCGGCCAGCCGCCCCGTCCGGGAGGTGAGGGGCGCCTCTGCCCGGCCGCCCCTACTGGGAAGTGAGGAGCCCCTCTGCCCGGCCACCACCCGTCTGGGAGGTGTGCCCAACAGCTCATTGAGAACGGGCCATGATGACAATGGTGGTTTTGTGGAATACAAAGGGGGGAAAGGTGGGGAAAAGATTGAGAAATCGGATGGTTGCCGTGTCTGTGTAGAAAGAGGTAGACATGGGAGACTTTTCATTTTGTTCTGTACTAAGAAAAATTCTTATCCTGTTGATCTGTGACCTTACCCCCAACCCTGTGCTCTCTGAATCATGTGCTGTGTCCACTCAGGGTTAAATGGATTAAGGGCGGTGCAAGATGTGCTTTGTTAAACAGATGCTTGAAGGCAGCATGCTCGTTAAGAGTCATCACCACTCCCTAACCTCAAGTACCCAGGGACACAAACACTGCGGAAGGCCGCAGGGTCCTCTGCCTAGGAAAACCAGAGACCTTTGTTCACTTGTTTATCTGCTGACCTTCCCTCCACTATTGTCCTATGACCCTGCCAAATCCCCCTCTGCGAGAAACACCCAAGAATAATCAATAAAAATAAAGAAAGAAAAAATAAAAAATAAAAATAAAATAAAATAAAATGCTCCCTCGGCAGCCATCCCCATACCCCCTGACTTAGAGCACTTATGAGGGGACCTGAGCCAGGCAGCTCCCACCTGCCGCCCGTCCTCTTTGCTGGCTCTTCCTTGGGGTCAGACTAAGGACCACCCTGCTGTCCTCCCGACCTGCTGAGAATCCACTCAGCTGCCCATCTACCCATTTACCTTTTCTCATATACCATGTAGAGCCCCACATACAAAAGGAACCTTACACATCTCAAGAATCCAATGGACAAAAGTCTGCAATTCCTCATGGCATCTGCAATCCCCCAACTGCAGGTCTACTGTTCTCATGCACCCGTCTCAGGATTCTTTGCATCGACTTGGAAAGTTTGAACTTGTTGCTTTGTGGACATTGCACTCGAGGGCTTCAGAATACTTTTCTTCCTCTCCTCTGCATCTATACCTCTCTTGGGCCAATTTCTGTCACTGCCCAGCTAGTTTCCAAATACAGTGCGCCACTGCCATCATTCCCCTGTATAGTGATTATTTGGCCTAAAGCTCATCTTTCTATAGCCGAGAGTGAACCCCAATCTCACACATGAGTACATGCAGCATCTTTCTATGTGTGTTAACTTCCCCCTGGGCCCTGGTCTTTCCTTGATGCACTGGCTGCTGGGGAGCCCAGCAGTGCCTGTTTTCCCTGCGACCTACCCATCACACTTGACAGGCAGGACATCATGGCAAGACTTCCTCTCTGCCAATCTGTCCTGCAAGACCAGGCAGGCCCTGCAGGATACACTCCGTCCTCCTCAATGACTAGACCATTTTCTTTCGGAATAAAGCTGTTTTTTCACCTGTTGGCTGCTGAGAAAGAAAGGACACTCTGTAGTATTTTTTGAAGTCTCTTCCACTCATCAGAAAGACCCAGCCAAATATCTGAGTGGGCTTACGACTTACCATCCTGTCAAACTAGGTGGCCCTTCCTCAGACATCAGGACCATCTTCTGGCATCTGCCATCCTGGAAACCCTCTTCCTCCAAATAGAAATTTGCCACCCCATCCAAGTCTCCTCCAGGGTGAGTGACATCCTCACGTGGGCCTTCCTGGCCTTGGGTATCTGGAATTGTCTGCAGGTTCGCATGTGTGATCCCCCAGCCAGGGCATGTGTGTCTGGTCACTGTGATTTTAATACAGGGGTTATCTGAGAGGTGCTGCAGAAGAGAGGGGGATTGGGGGACAGAGAAAACCCCGAATCAAAGATGATGTGAATGACCCTGGGAGAAGAGTGGAGGGCTGGGGAACCCTGGAGAGAAGCAGGTAGGGCAGGGGCTACTCAGGGCTGTGGCCTACACCTCCAGGGCTAGAAATCAGAAGCTGGAAGTAGGGTGTAGAAAAAAAAAGTAGCCTAAAAGTGTCACTCTTTAAGATGTGCTTCCTAGCCCAGCGGCACCAGCAACTCCTGGGAGCTTGTTGGAAATGCAGAGTCTCAGACAGCAGATCCACTGAATCAGAACATGGCATGTTCCATCCAGGCTCCCGAGGTGACTTCCGAGATGTTTCCACACTACCTTAACTTAGGCTCCGCGGGCCTCCTGCAGTTGCTGCTGGGCTGGTTGGTGGCATCCCTACACCTGGCTCCTCCCACTGGGGCCCCTGGTGCTCTGGCCCTGGGCCTCTGACACCCAACACCCTGTCAAAGAATCCCCAGCAGGGGAGCCTCCTCCCCACAGCTTGCGTAGGCCCTGCTGGGGCCTCCAGACCGAGAAACACGCAGCTGAACCCCCACGGCAGAGGCCACACTGGGTCTGACCATCCAGTTGGGGTCACCGCCCTACACAATGTTTCCCGGTCCCCCTCAGGGTGACGTTGCAGGGTTTGACTCTTGGGTCCCTTGCTCAGTGAGCTTACAGTGCTTCCCTTGAAAGGCACTGTGCTGTGAACCTGCGGCTTATTTACAGACGTGTCCAAATCCGTTCTCTGGTCCTGCGTGCAGTGGCCACGCCCTTCATAGTCTGAACGTGGGTGACTGTGTATACCTGATATGCCCCAGATATCCTCCTCTGAGGCGGGCAGGAAAGCCACGAGACACAGGTATAGAAGGAAGAACTGCAGGGAGAAGCAGCCAGTGCCCTCCCACAGACACCTGCTTAGGGCTCCAGGACAGATGAGCAGCCTCAGAGACGGTGTTCCCTCCCGTGGAGAAGATGGCTGCAATTCATATGAACTCTCCAAGCCCACGTGTCCTTGGGTATGGAACAAGGACGCTGAACTCCTTGATCTCCAAGGGCCCCTCCAGGGTGAACGCCCACTCTAGAAACTCCCTCGTTGTCATCCTGCCCAACAGGGTCCTGTCCCTGGATACAGACTTTCAGGTTGGAACTTTCCAGGCTCTAGGATCTTGTCCAGAGGATGACTATTACTACCTCAGAAAAAAGATACATAAAACTCTGACAAATGATGTAGACTCAGACACAAGCGGCATCCAAAGGCAGTGGTGCCGGGCCAATTAGACACCTGCGAGCAAATAAAATTGAATCCATACCCCACGTGATGGCTGCTTCAGGGACAGGGTTCAGGAAGACTCACTGCACGTCAGGGTCACTGGGGGACTTGTAGCCTGCAGTGGTTGGGGGAAAGCCAGTGGGGTTTGGTAGGCTTGTTGTGGTCAAGGAACTTCAGCTCACATTGCCCACTGGGCCCTCGTTTGACAGGCTCCCCGTGGGCAGCAGCTGCCTTTTGTGGGCTCTGCTCAAATGACGCAAGGACAGTCACTGAGCTTCTCTCTGCCAGGGGAGGGGAGAACACAGGTCAGAACTGCACATACTCTGGTCCTGATCGCTGGGCTTGGCAGGGAGCAGGCGCTCCCTGGTTGCCATGCAGAAACAATGACGGGTCACAGCAAGTGGGGCCCAGCGCCTAGGCGGGCTGAATCCTTCTGTTAAGGTTCAGACTGAAAGAGTGAAAGGGGGTCCAAGGGGAGGAACAAGGGGGAGGAAAGGAGACTACCCGGAATCTGAGCTCTTGGGAGCCAGGTCAGACCCCAAGGCCTCTCCCTTTGCACTTCTCCATGAGGCCTCTCTCGTCCGTAGCTTTTGCCAATACAGGTTGGAGACGGGTCGCTCAGTAGTGCAATCCCACAAAAGACAATGGGAAGGCTGTCTCTTAAAAGGCCATTTTAAATATTAATGGTCATGGGGAAATACTCATAAAATTAACTGAAAAAATCAGGTCAGATGACCCACTTTTGTAGAGGAAACAATGGCAAGGCACACACAAGGCCAGAGGTCACTCTTTGTCCAGGTAGAGTCAGTCCCTCTCTTGTCAGGCATCGGATGCCCCATGTCCCTATCACAGCACTTTATTCTCTGTCATCCCTGGCAGTGATGTATCCTGGTCCTCCCCAGATTCACTTTATTGAGCCTTCCAATTAGCACAGTGCCTGGTACAATAGGAGTTCAATACATGTTTGCAAATGAGTGAGTGAAGGATGGATGGATGGGTGGGAAGGAGGGGAGGAGAGAGAGAACGGAGAGGGAGAGAGGGAGGGAGAGAAAGAGGAAGAGGGGAGAAGGAAGGAAGGAGGGAGGAGGAAGGGAGAGGGAGGGAGGGAGGGAAGGTGAGGAGAGAGGAGAAGGAAGGAAGGGAGGGAGGGAGAGAGTGAGGGAGGGAAGTGGGGAAAGGGGAGAAGGGAGGAAGGGAGGAAGAGACAAAGGGAGGGAGGGAGGAAGGGAGGGAGGAAGAGAGGGAGGAAGGGAGGGAAGGAGGGAGGGAGGCAGGGAGGGGAAAAGTTCAGAGAGAAACCTACCAAAATGCTAATCAGGGTTATGATCTAGATACCTTATTTTATCTTCTTTATAATTACCTGTCTTCCAAGTTTTCACCAGTTAAAAGATCACTTTTATAATAAATATACTTTTTATCAAAACTCTGCTATTTGATTTAAATCCATTTGAAATGGTTTATCATAACTCCAAGTCCTATTTTTAACTAATGAATCTAGAAGACACTGGAATTAGTTCATGTCTATCAAAGTGTCAAGTCTTGAACCAACATTGGGACACATGATCTGACAGTTTCCTAAATGCTCATTAAAGAAATGGGACTATTTGGAATCAAGGTGCCCCACAAATCTAAACAAGACCCCCACATCTAAGGACGAAGGGGAGCACAGGTCCTCCCCTTAGGGAAGATGACAGCTGCATTGGGGACGTGGACAGTAACCCTTAAGATGGTGGGCCTGTGTCACCCAAAGTTGCCACCTCTAAAGTGCCCATAATAAAGGTGGCAAGAGGGACATCTCAGAGGGAGATCTCAGACATTCTACTGAGTATAATATTCCATCCAGCCCAACTTTGCTTCCCTGAAGCTGAATTCATTCTGCTTTTAAGAAATGGATATTGTCGCCAGCCTTGGGGCTCACACCTGTAACCCCAACACTTTGGGAAGCTGAGGCAAGAGAGAGGATCACTTGAGCCCAGGACTGTGAGGCCTGCCTGGGTAACAGAGTAAGATCCTGTCTCTAAAAAAAATTAAAAATTAGCTGGATGTAGTGACACGAGACTGTAGCCCCAGCTACTTGGGAGGCCGAGGCGGGAGGATCGCTTGAGCCCAGCAGGTTGAGGCTGCAGTGAGCCATGATCATGCCACTGGGTGGCAGAGCAAGACCTTTTCTCCCAATTAAAAAGAAAAGAAATGGAGGGACTGGACTATGCAGGTAAACAAAAAAGCCCTTCTGCGGCCTCCTCTCCACCTTTATCCTCCTCTCCTCTAGCCAGAGATACATCCATGGGCCCCACTCCCCCAAGCACCAGTCACCACCAATCTCTTAGCCCCAAGCAAGAGAACAGCCTCAGGGGACCCCCATGCCTTAGCACTCTCTCTGGGCCTCTGTAATCTCACACAACTTTGTAGCTCTCACAGGGCCTAGAGCTGAGGGACCTGGTTGGGATCAGTGCCCACCCTTCTGCAAGGCTGGCCCTGACCTTAGGCCAAGTCCCAGCACTGGGTGGCAATGTAGCACTGTGGGTAGCACCCAGGCCTCCAAGCAGCAGACAGACCACTGCTGGCAAGGGATCTGGGTGCGTTTATTACCAAAGCCTTGGTTTCCTAGCTTGACAAGTAAACATCCCAACAGAGAAGCTACTTTGTACTGTTGCTGGGCACATTAATGCATTAGTGCTATGCGCCTGGCAGTGCTTTAAAGACATTAAAACATCCAATTCATAATATCCAGATGAGGTAGGTACTGCTGTTGTTTCTCTTTTACAGATAGAGAGAGGGCATCACAGAGAGGTTAACAGATGTGCCTAAGGCCACACAAGTGGGAAATGTTAGAACCAGGATTCCAGCCCAGGCAGTCTGGCTCCAGAGTCCAAGCTGGTCTTACCATGCAAATGAGTGTCTTTACAAAGCATGTGAAGTTCTCAGCGCAATGCCAGGAACATATTAAAAGCTCAATAAATAGTAGCTGATGCTCTTGGTTGCTGGGATGCCTCAGTAAAGCAGATGGCGGCCACCCTGTGCTCTGTGCACAAACCTCATCTCCCTCCTTTATGAGTCAGGAGTGGGCCTGTCTCGTCCACCTTTGCAGTCCAGCAGGGCCCAGCATCACACCTTGTGGATCTCTGAAAACCTGCTGGATGTATAATAAGATGACACCCATTTATCAAGCACCCACTGTGTGTGCCTTATCTCATTCAACCCTCCCACCGCCTCATGGGCAAGCTGGGTGTTTCAGCATCTCGGCAAAGGGACACTGCCACTGCACCAGTGTGGGGTGAACAGTGGACAAAAAGGGATTGATTTGCCAGGCAGTAGAGACTGCCCTGGAGTGGACTTCAAATGAAACAGAGATTATTTATTCCATGTCATTGGTTACTTTATGTGGTGCTTACTTTCTATTTCTTCTTCCCTTTCTATTCCAAAACGTTTCCAGGAAGTATTTTCCATGGATGGTGATTCCAACTAAAGGAAAGAGAGAAAAGTACACTGACGTTGACCAAGACCTTGAGGGGACTAAGAGGGAAAGTGAGAGCATCACATAACGAGAGCTGACGTCAAGGCTGGCCCAATCAAGAAACGGCCTCAAAACCGTACAATGTAGGAAACAGAATCATCACAAAGAAAAACAATGTGATCTTGGAACAGTGGCGACCTCAAAGCACATCTCTACATCTTGATAAGAAAAAAGAGGAGACGTAGAAAATCCCCCAGAACCAGACTCCAGTTTGGCTTACGGTCTGTCATAACATCACAGGCACCAGGAGTGGGCTCTTTGGTGATGAGAGCGGAACTGAAAATGGAAATGGAAATCAAACACACAGCCCCAGTCAGGTCCCAGGTTAGCTGACCTGCTCCTAATGCCTGCTGGGCTCAGGCCAGGATATCGGTGGAGGCCCCTGGTCCGCGGCCCATTCCCCTTCTCTTGCCATCCCCACCTGGTCATTGTAACAAGGGGCCTCGCACATGAGTGTGGACACCCGGGGCTGCATGTTTGAGCTCCAACCATGTCCACGTCTCAGCCACAGCTGGCCATTCTCAGCCGAGGCATGGGCACACAAGTGGCCCCAGGGAAGATGAACTCAGTGCAGGCCCTGGCAGCTAGCAAAGGGGCATTTGGGCAGAGAATTATAGAAAAGGAAGGATCTGGGGGTCCAGGGGACATGTCCCTTTGCCCTGCAGACCTCTTTCCCCTTTAGGGAGCCACAGCCAGAGTGGGTGCCTCTTGGAACATATGACCTTATCTCTTTGGCCCAGAGATGACATCTTCTGCTATCCCAAGTGTGAGCCGTTTTGGTCTCAGAAGAAAAGTCCCCTCGTCTTCCTTTCAGGGAAAAGTGCTGAAGAGGGCAGGAGACTGGTGGTTTGAGACCTGCCCCTTAGAAACCATGTGACCCTGTGCCGTGACTGACCTTCCTAGACCCAGCCCTGTGTGTACAAAATGAAGACAAATACCTACCTCGCCACCTTGTTGGCAGGACTCAAAGGATGACAAAGTGCCAAGCAAATGGATGTTTTCTTATGGAGAGCCAGGGAGGTAAATATGATCCAGGGGAAACAGCCCTGGGCCTCTGGAAATGATCAGTCTGTTCCAGGAATAATACCTACCTAAAGGATGCTGTTAAGGACTGAATAAGGAAGTGTGTGTGCAAAGGCACCTGGCACCCAGGAAGACCGCAAAAACTATTCATGGTGGAGGTGGTGGTGCTAGTGGCGACCATTCCTGGTGGTGCTGGTGGTGCCGGTGGTGCCAGGCACCTGCAGCAGGTATTTGGCTAAATTACGTAATTTAATGATCACAGTAACCAAAGAGGTGCATTCCTATAGCGCAGATGGAAAAAGTGGGACCAAGGTCACAGGGTTCATGAGTGAGCAGTGAGGCCAGGAAACACATGCCTGTCTGTCTGCATCCGATTCCTCTTCCTGCCACACTCAGCACCACCTGGCCGGTTGTCTTGCAGACTCTGGGGATAATTCATTCACAACACTCTTACCTGCTCACAGCAGGAAGCCTGTTCACAGCACCCCAGGCCAGATCAGCCATGGAGACATTTATACTAGACACTGTGGGCCACCTGGATGCCAACAGACACACAAGAGCGCCTTGTGTTCCCATCCACATCAACTCAGCTCATCAAAAAACCCATCCCAGGGAAAATGAGCTTGCTAATAAACCAACTAACTAAGCCTAACAAGAAATAACAGCAAATTTTGAGGCACTTTACAAGGAGAGTCACACCCAGGTACTTGTTGGACCCAAGAAGACTCAGGTAGCAAGGCAGGGAGTGGCTCATGACAACCGCCCGGAAGAGTCACGTCTATTTAGTTCTCGAAAATAATGGAAAACAAACTCGGTTTTCGCAAGTGGTATGCTGTGTACACTGAGTCCACATCAGGTGTTCTTGAATTCTCTGATAAATAAAAACCACAAGCAACTGTGGCACCACCGGGCTGGAGGGAAGCGCCGGCTCGCACCTGTCAATACGAGCAGCCTGGGGGCCTTATGGGACAGACCCTTTTTCTGAACTAGTGGTGCTGGAGTGAACACCTTCCAGGTCCCCAGGGCTCGCCCCTCACCCTGAAAAGATTAAATCATTTATTTATAAGAAAATATCTAACCCAAATACAGCAGGCACTGGGGGGCACAGGGAGCTGTGGTTACAATGCAAGCAACATCTGGACCTGCAAACTCATGATGCTGCCACAAGAAGCGTGTGCAAGGAAGGTGGGTGGCTGGGGAGGCAGTCCAGCATCATCCCCAAAGTCTTTACTACTGCTCTCCCCTCTGCTGAGTCACAATGCTCTTTGTTGGTGATGCTTGTAACATAACCCTCCTCTCCCCTCTTCAGAAACTGGCAACACCAAGGTGCCAATCTTTTTTTTTTTTTGAGATGGAATTTCACTCTTGTTGCCCAGGGTGGAGTGCAGTGGCGTGATCTCAGCTCACTGAAACCTTCGCCTCCCAGGTTCAGGTGATTCTTCTGCCTCAGTCCCCTGAGTAGCTGGGATTACAGGCACCTGCCACCACACCAGGCTAATTTTTATATTTTTAGTAGAGATGGGGGTTTCGCCATGTTGGCCAGGCTGGTCTCGAACTCCTGACCTCAGGTGATCTACTCACCTCCCAAAGTGCTGGATTACAGGCATGAGTCACCACGCCCAACCGCCAATCTCTTTAAATGGCTTCAGCTGCCAAATCTCACCAGCAAGTTTGGGTCACTGATGCATCCCCTACCCCTCTTCTCCTACAGACCCTGATCTTCTGGGTAATTTCCCCTGATTTCCTTAAAATGACACCGACAGCCAAGAATTTCACCAAAGGGGGCAAGCACGGGACACAAACTTATGGGTGCATCCAGGGCCCTTTGAGGATAATGTGCCATGTCCGTATAAAGCATCCCCCATCCCCACAGGGTGTAAGAATAACCATACAATTCAGGCTTTTATGACAGGAGATGCAGGCAGTAGAGGGAGGGGCTTTGATCTTAGGACTTTAACTTACTGGCTTCCCGTAGGTGTTCCACGGCACAGCAGGGGAGACAGATTTTGTAGAAGAGGTCAAGGTGAGGATGGCGCCTCAACAGAATCTTCAAAACCAAAAGGCAAGTTGCGGTACCCGCTGACCCTCCGCCATGCAGAGACTGCCGCGGACGCCGAAACACCCTCCTCCCCGTCAGGCTGGCTTGTCCCCGGGCATCTGAACGAGCCAACCTGACAGGATGGGTGCTCAGCGGAGGACACTCTCTGAGAAGCCTGAGATGATGGGGAAACCCACTCTCTAGGGCTGGCTTCCAGCGCAGCTGTTTGGAGAAAGAGCTACCCTGGAGAACCTTAGTCACTGCTACAGTGGTAGAGAAGACGGAGCACAGGAGTAGCTCCTCAGGGAGGAGGGACACAGACCACACCCCCAGCTCCTTGGTGACCTCCAAGGGAACCAGCTGGACGGCAGCAAATGGGCTTTTCCCCCGGCTTTTTCTCAGCTCGCTGTGAACCCGGCCCAGATGCATCCCATGCTTACTCATAGAGTAAAGCAAGCCAGGTATGAGGCAGTTACAAGCCAGCAGTTTTTTATGTGATTGATTCTATCTTCTCTGGAGATGCCCCAAGATTCTCTGGAAACAGTTAGGCCTCAGTATTTCCTAGCCAAGGAGCAAGCTTCCAGGAAATGAGCGAGTGAGCCTCCAATTGTATATGTAGACGTAAAAACAGCATGCATGCCCCTCCACCACCAAGCCTTTTTCATTTCCAAGCTTTTCTCTAATCACCAGGATCCAAACACCTCCAGCCCAGCTCCCATCCCCGCCCTCCTCCTCAGCCTTGGGCCCACCCACCTCTGTCTTCACAAAAGGTGCCCCGCTGGCCGGCACCACAGAAAACATCCAAGCCCAAGGTACTCATGGTTTGTGTGTAAAGGGTTTTTATTGGAGAGCCTGTGGCGCTGAAGTGCCACCAAGGATTTGGAAGGTCACTTTCAGCAGCCGCCATTTCTGCCAGGACCAGTGGCAAGCACCTGGCAGATGGAGCCCGGGTGTTTCTGCGTAAGGCAGAGGAATCCAGCTTTTCCATGAGATTCAGCTGCAGTTGTCGAAAACCCTGTGTGAGCCAGCAGTTCCAGTTCAAAGGTTGAGGGGGCGAACAGCTGCGAGGTGGCCAGGCTCCCGTGAGTCACCACTCAGGCCTGAGTACACCGTGGAGAGGAGAGATAAAGCAGCCACGGCTGTTCTGTTGCCAGTCCCACCCCTCTGGCAAACAGATGGGGGAAAACAGAGAAGGAAAGTCAACAAAGAAGGTGAAATGCAGGGAGCAGAGACTACACGCAGGCCCCCCGTGGCTGGCAATACCATGCGTGCTGGGCCGGCTGCGCCACCCTCACCCAGGGCTTCCCACGGGCTCTGCTCTTTCCTGCAGAGGCGAAACTGCCTTCCTGGCAGGCGGAGGCTGCCGAGCTCCCATGCCCCTTCCCACATATCCCAACTCTTCTCAGAAAACTGAAGAACCGAAGATGGAGGTGAGTCAGGAAAGGCTGGAGTTTTCATCCAAAAAAAAAAAGAGCAGGACAATAAACAGGCAAATACACAAACCCTGGAGCAAAGCCAGGAAAAAAGGGGGAGATAAAAAATAAAAAAATAAAAAACACCTTTCTAGAGAGAGCAAAATCCCAGGGTCCCGAAGGCACTGCTAATAGACTAATAGAAGCATCTTTGTTGCAGCCAATCACCTCTAGCCTGGGAACACCGCTAGTCAGGAGGCCTCAATCAACCTGAGAAGTCAGCCCAAGGCCCTGTCTCCAGAAGCCAGCAGCAGATCCCTGGGTCATGTCACAGGCAAGTCCTCACTTCACCAGCTCAGAGGTGAGCCACTCTCACCTGAACCTCTGCCTTCCGGCAGGGACCTCCTGGGTCCTGTGGGGTCTCCTGGGTCCAGGTGGGTTCCTAGTCCAGCCCCGTCTAGACTGACTTCAAATATAGTCCCCTGACAGTGTGATTTTTTCCAGCCAGCCAAATCACCGTTCATTTTTAAAATGGTTTTTAAAAATTACATTTCTAAGGCAAACAACGTAGAACTGTGACAGAGCAGAGGAACAACAAAAAAGCACAAAGAATGTTGCTAATCACAGGCTGCCTAGCACTTTCCTTTCCCTTCAGAGAAGGAGAAACTGTTTTATAGGTATCACACACGTGCACACGCACACACGTGCACACACACACACACACACACGCACAGTTTTTCCCTGATACTGGAAATTCTTTGTGAACTAGCCACGCTGATTTCTGCTGAACCTTTTTTTTTTTTAAAAAAAAAAAAAAAGGAAGAAAGAAAAGGAGCCACAGACGTGTCCAGGTCTGGAAGGGGCTGACCAGCTCTAAGCACATCCACCTTGAACTCTGACACAGGTAACGCCAAAATGAGGCCAGGACCTGACCAAGCCAAAAAAGCAGCAAAGGATCAGATGGGGTCCAATGTGTAGATCCAGTAGAGAAGAATGTCGGAAATTCTAAATACACAGTTGGACATCCTTCAGGCTTGTTTTAGATTCTTGATCCTCCTGATCTCTTTTACTATTGTCAACAATTGTCTTAAAAAAACTTCTTTAAAATCAACATGTTTCTACCCTTTGCTCCTTAGCAAGGCACAAAGCCTCTTACATGGGGAGTAGAAGTAGGGGGCACTTTAAAGGGATGCCCAAAGGGTGGCAGAAGCAACTCCATTGTGGTGACGTGGAAACGAGCTTGCCAGTGACAGTCTGAGCAGATGCCTGACACGCACG
This sequence comes from Homo sapiens, assembly GCF_000001405.40. NCBI lineage: Eukaryota > Metazoa > Chordata > Mammalia > Primates > Hominidae > Homo > Homo sapiens. The sequence goes on from NC_000015.10 coordinate 92,619,316, forward strand.
ATGGAGCTGGGGTTTTATACATAACGTTCGTTTTGGTTTCAACACCTCCGACGCAAGAGGGCTTCCAGGTCCAGTCCTTCACACCCCAGGTTGCAGCTGACCAACTTTCCACAGGATGCCACCAGGCTGGGAAACAGGTTTTACCTAAAAGAAAGGGAAGGACAAGAGTAAGCCCCTTCTGGCAGAGCCTCGCACCCATTCTGACCCCTCCTGAACATCTCTATCCCTCACCCTCTCAGCCAGTGAAAAGGCCACAGTCCCCAGCCACAGGACCTTTGAGCGTGCTGTCTGGAAGGCGCAATCCACTCTTCCAGCAAACCCCCTCCCTCCCCACAGTTCCCAACTAAGGATCCCTCCCCCAGCTCCCCACACAGACTCCCTAGAACACAACCTCTTTCTCCTTATATCCCTCTCCTTGCCAGCACTTCCAGGGTGTTTACACTAGGGGTTGGAAAACTTCTTCTGTGACAGTCCAGAGAGGAAATATTGTAAACTCTGCAGATCCCACAATCACGGTGATAACTCCTCAACCCTGCTGTTGGGGTGGAACAGCAGCCACAGCAAGAAATGCTTGGCCATGGCTGTGTTCCAGTACAATGTTATTTATAGACACTGAAATTTGAATTGCATGTTACTTTCTCATGTCATAAAATAGTATTCTTCCTTTGGTTCTTTTTCAACCATTAAAATGTGAAAATCATTCTTGGCTCCTGAGCTGTACAAAAACAGACAGTGGGCTGGATTTGGCCCATGGGCCATAGTTTGCTGACTCCTGGTTTATGTATCTGAGTAGTGTTGGTCTCTTGCTTAGACTGGGAGCTTGAGACAAAAGCCACATCTAAGCTTCCTTACCTTTAAACCCCGGGCCCACACCACAGTGTCAGAAAACATAAGAAGTACAAGAAATAAGTTTAGGCCAGGCACGGTAATCCCAGCACTTTGGGAGGCCGAGGCGGATGGATCACAAGGTCAGGAGATCGCGACCATCCTGGCTAACATGGTGAAACCCCATCTCTACTAAAAATACAAAAAATTAGCCGGGAGTGGTGGTGGGTGCCTGTAGTCCCGGCTACTCAGGAGGCTGAGGCAGGACAATGGTGTGAACCCGGGAGGCAGAGCTCGCAGTGAGCAGAGATCGCACCACTGCACTCCAGCCTGGGCAACAGAGCAAGACTCCGTCTCAAAAAAATAAGCATAAGTTTAAAAACTAAATCTGTGGCCAGGCTTGGTGGCTTACGCCTGTAATCCTAGACCTGTGGGAGGCCACGGCGGGTGGATCACTTGAGGTAAGGGGTTCGAGACCAGCCTGGCCAACAAGGTGAAAACCTGTCTCTACTAAAAATACAAAAATTAGCCAGGTGTGGTGCTGCACGTCTGTAATCCCAGCTACTTGGGAGGCTAAGGCATGAGACTCACTTGAACCTGGAAGGCAGAGGTTGCAGTGAGCTGAGATGGCGCCACTGCACTCCAGCCTGGATGACAGAGCAAGACTCTGTCTCAAAAAAAAAAAAAAAAAAAAAAAACTGACTCTGCTCAAGACATCATCTAAAGGGACTTAGAAAAGGAGGGAAAATTTGACCAGTTAAAGCTGCCACCATCACCTCCTGATGTTTGATTATGGGCATTATATAATCCCATGAGCAAAAATAACAAAGATTTAATAGAATTTACAAAATAATGAACTTCCTGTCATAATATTACATAATACCAAATATATTACCATAACAGGTAGCTATTTACTAGAAGATGTAAACATCCTATTTTTAGGAAATAGATACTTAATCATTTGCAGGAAAGGGCCATGGTATACATAACTTACCCTCTAATGGTTTAGTAAAAACCATTTGTGTGCACACACATACATATACACACGGATGAATCAGAAAGCAAACAGGCAAAAAATGTTAACAGGAAAATATGAGTTAAAAGTATAGGGTGTTCCCTACGCTATTTTTATTTTTGCATGAAGTTTAATTTTTTTTCCAAATAAAAAGTTGTTTAAAGAGAAAACATAAGCCAGGCACAGTGGGTCGCGCCCGTAATCCCAGAACTTTGGGAGGTCAAGGCAGGAGAATCGCTTGAACCCAGTAGTTAGAGACCAGCCTGGGCAACATACTGAGAGCTTGTCTCTACAAAAACTACAAAAATTAGCTGGACATGGTGGCTTGTGCCTGTAGTCCCAGCTACCCAAGAGGCTGAGTGAGATGATCACTTGAGCCTGGGAAGTTGAGGCTACATTGAGCCAATATCTTGCCACTGCACTCCAGCCTGGGTGACAGAGCAAGATCGTCTCAAAAAAAAAAAAAAAATTGAGTATCTTCATATTAGCCACTAAAGTCCCCTACTCAACAGACTAGAGAAAGAGAAAAAGAAATCTCCAGCAAGCCATGTCCAAGTTGTGCAGGAGGCTGGCTTTCTTCAAGTGACCCCCTGGCCCCTTCTGTGGGTTGGGGAGTCGGGGGAGCTAACCTCACAAACCAACATCTCGGAGCCCAAGCACTCACACCCCCCACTGCAAAGAGGAAGGGACTAAGGACCCCCAACATTAAGGTTCCTACCAGGTCTGATTCCACCATCAGGCCTTCCACTGCATCTTGCTGGAAGGTCAATGTCGAGGATGAAGGGTGGGGGCACAGGAACTGGAGAGGAGCAGTGAAGATTTTAAAGACCAAGAATCGGAGCTGAGGGCAGGGACCTGATCGCCATAGCTGCGCCAGAGCAGATCTGGCCACGGCAGGCCTGCGGGCTCTGGGGAAAGCAGCCGGCAGAATCAACGGAGATGCAAACTCTGTACCGCTGCCATGCTGAAATTCACCTCCGTAAGTGTCTGGGCATCCCACGGGACTGCTCTGAATCTTACGGGGATCCCCTACCAGGCTCTCTGCCCTCACCTCACCCCCAGGTTGCTGTCTACATCCGTGTGCTTAAGAAACGCCCACACATACACAAGGTAGGGAGCCACACTGCTCATCGCAGAATCCTTCACGCGCCTCCACGGGGAGAAGTCCACCCGCACACACCAACGCCTGCCCAGGTCAGGCCTGGACACCAGCTCTCTGGGTCTCTCCAGGAGGTGGTAGAGCCATACCCCAAGTTTCAGCCATGTAGTTGGCTGGGCCTTCAGGCTCTCTGGGGTGACTGGCACTCAGGAACAATACTCCAGGGACAGTGGAGGGGACAAGCTGTCTCCAGAGGAGGCTGGCTGTAAAGTCCTGGCTCTCTCAATGTCATCTAGCTGTTTCCCTGTGGCCATCTATTGGCCAGAAGCTTTGGGGTTCCCCCGAGGAGGGGCTTGGGGGGCAGAGGCTCAAAGCTGCCACTCACTGAAGATCCCTATGCTGGCTTAAACGTCCCTTTGCCTGCACCTGCTGTTACTTCTCCCTGGAATGCCCTCACTGCTCCCTGCATGTTGAGCCACCTTGGGCTCACTTCGTGGTCCTCTCGAACTTGTAGGTTTCACCACCTCTGGGAAGAACTTATTGCCCCTTCCTGGCTGCCCACAGCACCCTGTTCCTTCCTCTGTGAGAGGGCTTGCCAGGTGGTCTTAGAAGTGGCCATGCTTGGCCAGGTGCGGTACCTCACACCTGCCCAGCATTTCGGGAGGCCAAGATGGGCAGATCACTTGAGGTCAGGAGTTCGAGACCAGCCTGGCCAATATGGGGAAACCTCATCTTTATTAAAAACATAAAAATTAGCTGGGCGTGGTGGCAGGCGCCTGTAATCCCAGCTACTCAGGAGGCTGAGGCAGGAGAATCACTTGATCCCGGGAGGCAGAGGGTGCAATGAGCCAAGATTGTGCCACTGCACTCCAGCCTGGGCAACAAAAGCAAGACTCCATCTCAAAAAAAAAAAAGAAAAAAGTGGCCATGCTCCTGCTGTCTCCCACTCTCAACACAGGCCCCTCGAGGGCAGGGCCAGGCTTACCCAGCCTGTACTCATGGTGAAGAGAATTATCAGGCTTACCAACTAGACATGTGCTAGGTGACAAGCAGAGATTCCAAGAGGCCTCTCTCGGCCCCCTTCTCATCCCCCAGAACCGCCAAACTGCTAGTGACATTCCTGCTTCATCATTAACATAAGTCAGAAAGAGTCAATGCTGACCACCACCCCCACCAAAATCTCTATAGGAAGTGAAGGCATATTTAGCTGCCACCGCCCAGGCTTATTCAGATTTCCCACCGTGCCGCAGGATGACACTGGGTTACAACCATCCCACACGAGGAGAGTGACATGTCCCAACTTGCTTCTGGCCCATGTTTTACAAGAAGCTTGTCCGGCAGGCAAAATAGCCCTCAACACAGGAACACCTGTTGCAGCACCTGTCAGTAGCGTCTGGCACCCTGGCAGCTGACGTCTCAGTGCAGCCGGCAAGGACACTCTGGGAAGAGGACGCAGTGGCCTTATGAGTGAACGACGGAGAAGCCGGAGGGAGGAGGCCTGGCCTGTCTGTGAGTATGTCTGAGACAGAGAAACGTGTGGACACCACCACCACGTGACAGGGAAGCCCCTGGCAGTTCTACTGCTTCCATCCAGGGACACACAAGAAAAGAACATCTGAAAAACATGGCTTGCTTTTGCAAAAGCATTGATACTTAGGATGATTTGTGTTGTTCATCTTTCCTTCCTTCCTTCCCTCTTTTCTTTTTCTTTCTTTCTCTTTCCTTTTTGTTTATTTGATCAGATTCCTGTTCACGTAGGCTCCATCCTCATAGACATAGACACAAGAATTTTTAAGGTGCCCTGGCTTTGAGTGAGACACCCTAAATGAAAATTGCCCGCAGGCTGCCAATATTGCTTTCCAAAGAAACAAAAATTCTCCATGAGATGCCCATTTTTAACACATATCCTCTGCATTCTGCAAGGAAGAGGACTGGCAGAGGTTTATTCACACTGGTCTGGGGATGGCTTCTGATGCTGTTTCAGATACAGTTACCCTGCAGGTCACCGGCTCCTCTCTGGTTCCTTCCAGGCCTTGGAAGCTAATGATGCCCATTGTTTCTATACCCACCGCCCAGGCAGCTGTCCATCTGCCGATGCTCCTAACAGTTCGCCCTCAGAAGACCACGAGGAAGCCTGGGGTGCCTGGCCATTCAGAGGTCCTCAGTAAGTAGAAGCAGCTCCAAGAAGTCACTGCCTTGAGTGTGCTTAGCAACTGCCATGAGGGCGTCCATGGGGACTCAGAGCTCCCGGGTAGCAAGCCAGGTCTGTTTTCCCATACTCCCTGCCTACCCTGCAGAGGCCTCATGCTGCAAACTGCACAAAAATGCCCTTTGTTTCCAAGACAAGACACCAGCCAAAGCCCGCAGCATTACAGTGGAAATCTCGTGGGTTTCTAATTATACTCCCAAAGGAAGCCCTACCCACAAGAGGGTGGGAAGCAGGGATTTCTAGAATGAACGTCCACACCCCCACGGGGCCACATCCTTTCCACACATAAGAAGCCGGGACAGGGACCTCCCTCTTGGTGGGGAGGCAGGGCTGGCAGGAGCAGCGCGTTCTCCCAGCAGTGTGCCTTTGGGCTGCGCCTGTCACAGCTGCCGGGCCGCCTGCCACACACACGGGAGGAAAAGCCCACATCTGTCTCTTCCTGGAGGACGCCTAGAGGGTGTAACAAAGTCTTCTGTAATAAACCGGGAATGCAAAGAGGCCCAGAGCATCCACACAACTGCACACTAGGCAACAAAGCTCAAAACACATGCAGCCGAAACCCAAACGCCTCTTGAAAGAACCATTTCAAAACCCCAGGGCACTCTTGTACTCTGGTTAGCTATCATTTCTTCTTTCTAATTAGTCTTTTTAAGTACAGAGTTAGAGATTCATTTCTATAGAACTCCCTCCCTCCCTCCCCAAACTCTGGCCCTACGCACTCAAGGTCTTATCTCCTACCCTGCCTGTATTCTTCCTCCTTCATTTCCTACCTGGCTGAAAACTTCGAGAAAAAAAAGCCTGTCTGATAGGCACAGGCTCTAAGTCACAAGATGTTACCAGAGAGTTACCTGGGAAATAAGAAGCAGGTTACTCTGCCTTACTGCCCTGGTGCCAAAAACATGATTTTCCTCTTTCCACCCAATCACAAAATAACCCAAAGCCATGATTCATCTGATTTAAATGTAGTCTGTTTCCTAGAGAGAACTGAAACATTTGGTTGAGTTATGTCTAAATGGGAAAAACAAGTACCTGTGAACAGATTAGCCATGTGCAGACAAAGAAGTTCACAAAAACACTAAACCAAACATGCAACGTCTGAAACTCTTTGTTCTTTCACACCTATTGGCCTGAAAAGTTGCTCATGATTCATTGTTTGGGTAGAAAAACGTGCCAAAACAGCATGTATAATACAGTCTTATTTCTATAAAAAACAAAGTTTCACATCTATATACTCACACACTCTAGTGGTTACTGTTAAGTAGTGAGATGACAAGTAACTGTGTCTTTCCTGTTTATTATCTGTATTTTCTACAGCTTAACATTACCTCTGTAATAAGAAAAGCCAGCACTACTTAGTCTTTCCGAACAGTCAGTCATCTTTAGGCCTGAGGACTGCAGTGGGCTTGTGTCTAATGACTCACTTCCAAGTTCACTCACATTCTGATTTTATTTCAACCACAAACAGCACAAACTTCTCAAGGAAGGGAAGCAGAAAAGGCAAAAGCAAAGCAAAAGAAGAGATAAAACGTTTAAGGACTTGGGAGCAGGGACAGGGACTCTTCTTAGTCCCAGATGACGTATCTACACAGAAAACCCAAAGATTCCACATTTATCCTACAAGAATTAATAAAAGTTTAGCAAGGTTGCTGGATTTTTTTTTTTTTTTTTTTTTGAGACCAGGCCGGAGTGCACTGGCGCGATCTTGGCTCACTGCAATCTCTGCCTCCTGGGTTCGCGCCATTCTCCTGCCTCAGCCTCCCAAGTAGCTGGGACTACAGGCGCCAGCCACCGTGCCCGGCTAATTTTTTGTATTTTCAGTAGAGACAGGGTTTCACCGTGTTAGCCAGGATGGTCTCGATCTCCTGACCTCGTGATCCGCCCGCCTCGGCCTCCCAAAGTGCTGGATTATAGGCGCGTGCCACCGCACCCAGCCAGTTGCTGGATTTTTTTTAAAAAAATCAGTATCTTTTAAAAATAACTGCAATAAACAAAAAGTTTAAAAATAATATTTTTTAAGAGACATCAAAGTCATGAATCATGAGATGGCGGCTTGCAGAGAAATCTGTTTTTGACACTGTCCCCAGAATGACAGCAGAGAGAAGCTGGCAGCCCTAGAAGCAGAAACCCAGGCATGGAGACTGGTCAGTGGGACAAAGGGGTTCTTTACGGCCGATGGTCTGGAGCGGGAAACTTATACAGAGGGATTTGCAGGGTCCTGAGTTTCTGCCTAGAATAGGGGCAGAGGAGACACTACTAAGGTGCTTCAGGGAGCTAACACTATTCCTGTATTAAAAACCACCAAGTGCTGGCCGGGCGCCATGGCTCACACCTGTAATCCCAGCACTTTGGGAGGCCGAGGCGGGTGGATCACGAGGTCAAGAGATCGAGACCATCCTGGCCAACATGGTGAAACCCCGTCACCACTAAAAATACAAAAAATGAGCTGGGCATGGTGGCACATGCCTGTAGTCCCAGCTACTCAGGAGGCTGAGGCAGGAGAATCGCTTGAACCCGAGAGGCAGAGGTTGCAGTGAGCCAAGATAGTGCCACTGCACTCTGGCCCGGGCGGCAGAGCGAGACTCCATCTCAAAAAAAACAAAAAAACAAAAAAAAAACCACCAAGTGTTGAAGGGCCCCGCACTATCGCTGTGTCAGATAGAGATGGAATGCACATCATTAAAGTGGCCAACGAAAATGACCCAGAGCGTGCCCGGAGACCAGGTGTCTCACTAACTTTTGCCCTCGCAACACGCCAGCCAGCAAGCCAACCTGGACTTTCAAAACACAAGCTTGGACTTATCTGTTAACTTTAACACCTACCAGGTGGTTTACCTTTAGTAGTTTGTTTGTTTCACAGCCAGCAGCAATGCCAATATGGCAGTCATTGTCAGCCTAGAAAAGGAACTCGCTCCATTATTTGAAGAACTGAGACAAGCTGTGGAAGTTTCTTAATGTGACACTCGTTTCAACGTGTGCCTTATCTTCATCATACCAGACACAATGTCAATCCAGCAACCAGGCCACAATAATATGGACGTCTATGCCCTCAGGGAAAGGCCCCTTTTCCCACCTTCTAGGAAACAGCCTATAAAGAGAATTTCTGAGCAGATTGATTGTCATATTTCCTTGTTTAGGGTCTTCTCTTATTCAGTGGGATGTGGAGACACCACAAAAATAGTTCTGTCTATCATGCTTCCCACGGAGTTAGTTCAGTCACCAAAGATTGATGAGACGCTGTTCACTGGCTCAGAATCAAAACAGTACATTGATCCACTCGAACCATTAAACGCTCCCTATTGTACAATATTCCCAGCCGTGCAGGAGGAAGCGGACTCTTTTGACTGTGAATAGTAATAAGGACATGGTTTTCTTCACATTGTATTTTACTTCTTTGTATTGAATGTGAGACAGATAAAATGGCTTAGCGATAAAATCAATACAATCACTAACTTTCCTAGGTACACGGACATCCCTTGGTATCCTCAGAGAATTGGTTCCAAGACCTCCTGCAAAGACCAAAATCCACAGATGCTCAAGTCTTTTATATCAAACGGTGTAGTATTTGCGTGTATCCTATGCACATTCTCTAGTATACTTTAAATCATCCCTAAATTATTCCTAATACCTAATACAATGTAAATAGTTGTTACACTGTATTGTCTTTTGGATTTGTATTATTTTCATTGTTGTATTGTTTTTTTCCCAAAATTTTTTTTTTTGAGATGGGGTCTTCCTCTGTTGCCCAGGCTGGAGTGCAGTGGCATGTTCATGGCTCACTGCAGCCTTGATCTCCCAGGCTCCAGTGATCCTCCCACCTCAGCCTCCCAAGTAGCTGGGACTACAGGCATGCACCACCATGCCTGGCTAATTTTTGCTTTTTTTTTTTTTTTTTTTTTTGTAGAAGTGGGGTTTCACCATGTGGTCCAGGCTGGTCTCAAACCCTGGAGCTCAAGAGATCTGCACTCCTCGGCCTCTCAAAATGCTGAGACTACACGCATGAGCCACCATGCCCGAGCCCAGACATTTTCAATTTGTGGTTGCTTGAGCCTGCAGATGTGGAACCCTCAGGTACAGAGGGCCAACTGTGCATTATTTTGTGGTATGAATAAATATTACTAATTGATTTGATTCTTTTCAAAGGGTGCTGCCCTTTACCTAAAATGCAAATTACAACTAATGGGATTTTTCTCCCATTCTGTTATCCATAACCAATCCGTTTTAATGCTTTCAGGTTCTTTATAAGATTTAGGTGTGATTCACTAACAAACTGAGCTTCCAAAACCAATATGTATGTAAACATGATAATACAGTCATTTTCTCCAGACATGAGTATAAATAGTACTTTAAAGTAAAAAATATACATATCAAAATGTAAAACACCAATGAGAATATATCTTAACAAAAATGTATAAAACATTTATACATAAATTTTTTAAAGTACTGAAAAACATTTTTTTAAATACCTAATAAATGGAAAATCATTCCATATTCATGGATTGGCAAAGTCAATGTAAAAGTGCTGATTCTCCCTAAATTGATCCACAGGCAATGCAGTTCCAATCAAAATCCCAAACATTGTCTTGTTGAGTCTGACAACTGATTTATGCAGAAGGACCAAGGACCGCCAAGGCTGTGCTGAGGAACACAGGTGTGGAAGGCTTGCCTTCCCAGACATGCAGAAGCCATGGGATCCGGGGAGCCAAGATAGGGACCAGCCTGCATTTCTGTTCCACTTTTACTACTAATTGGGACTTTGGCCAAGCAATGCCCTTTCTCTGGGTCTTCGAGCCCTCGTCTCAAAACTATGCTCATCCTCAGCTCTTCCATTAAGAAGCTCACATATTCAAAGTACACCTCAAAATGATCTGAAAACCCACACTACAATCCTAAAGTCACAAAGTCATTCTGACTTTCCTAGAGAAAGCCTTTAAGAAACACACCTGCCTGTGGAGCTCATCGGTAAACTCCATCCAAGCAGGAACGCCACCCACCCAGCCACCCACGTCCTCAGCTACTGACATAAGCGAGGCTGAAAGAGAAGTTTCTGTTTGGGTGCCTGGTGTGTGGCACACACGGCTGCTTGGGCCGGACCCCTGACAACCAGTGGACAACTAGCTCATTGTCTGAAGCACAATCCTCCTTTTCCTTCTATAAAGGTGACTTTGTGTTCTCCTTTGGGAAAAGTAATAAGCAATTCTCTGCTGGGTTTCTGGGTGCAGTGTGTTCTAGGAAGGGATCTGATATGGTTTGGCTGTGTCTCCACCCAAATCTCATATTGAACTGTAGCTCCCACAATTCCCACGTGTTGTGGGAGGGACTCGGTAGGTAACTGAATCACAGGGCTGGGCCTTCCCGTGCTGCTCTCGTCCTGACAGTGAATAAGTCTCACAAGACCTGATGGTTTTCTAAGGGGGAGTTCCCCTTCATAAGCTCTCTTGCCTGCCATCATCCACGTAAGATGTGACTTTGCTCCTCCTTGCCTTCCACCATGATTGTGAGGCCTCTGCAGCCATGTGGAAATGTGAGTCAATTAAACCTCTCTTTATACATTTCCTAGTCCCAGGTATGTCTTTATTAGCAGCATGAAAATGGACTAACACAAGATCAGAGCAGGTCTCTCCACGTGCAGAACACCCCAGGACCCAACACTTCACTAAAAAACAAGAACACATGGACACCATGCCTGACCTCGAGGTCCCACCAACCCACTGCCCCAAGCCCAGGAGGAAGCCTCTGTCTCCACCCTGTACCTGTATTTGATGTCGAATACTGTGGAGTCCTCATCTTCATCATCCTCTTCATTTAGTGGCGCCATTTCCACTCGCTCTGCTGGAGTGGTGATGATATCATACTTGCGTGTCTTCTTTAACCTCTTTCCCGACCTGCAGGAGAAGAAGCACATTCATGAGAACACAGCTGGGAGAGAAAGAGTCACTGGGCCCCAAGCCCCAGAGGACCCGACAGCAACTTAGCAGCTGGTGTTTAGTCAGGTTTCCTTCCTCTGTCTGAGAGTGTGAGGATCTGATGGAAGGCAAACCACACTGCTGCCTCCAGCCTGGCTGCTGAGACTGCTCCCAGGAGATTCGGTTAACACCCTGCTGCCCCACTTATGGTCATGGGACCTCAAGTGAGTGACCGACCTCGCTAACCCTTAAAGCAGAGGTCCCTGGTCTGAGCACTAAAAACTCAGTAAGCAAGATAAATAATACACAAATGCAATATATATTTTATATATATATTATATAATTATATATTTTTTATATTATATAATTATATATTTTTTATATTATATAATAATATATAATAATAATATATTTTATATATTACATATTACATATTATATATATTTTATATATTACATATTATATATTATATATATTACATATTACATGTTACATATTACATATTATATATTATATATTACGTATTACATATTACATATTATATATTATATATTACGTATTACATATTACATATTATATATTATATATTACGTATTACATATTACATATTATATATTATATATTACGTATTACATATTACATATTATATATTATATATTACGTATTACATATTACATATTATATATTATATATTACGTATTACATATTACATATTATATATTATATATTACGTATTACATATTACATATTATATTATATATTACGTATTACATATTACATATTATATTATATATTATATAATAATTTATATATTATATTATATATTATATATATTACATATATTATATATTATATTATATATAATATATTATATATTATATTATATATAATATATTATATATTATATTATATATAATATATTATATATTATATATAATATATTATATATAATATTATATATAATATATTATATATTATATATAATATATTATATATTATATTATATATAATATATTATATATTATATATTATATTATATTATATATAATATATAATATATAATATAATATATTATATATATAACATAATATATATTATATATAATTTATAATATATTATATATATATATAATTCTTTTTTTTTTTTAAGATGGAGTCTCGCTCTGTCACCCAGGCTGGAGTGCAGTGGCGTGATCTCGGCTCACTGCAAGCTCCGCCTCCCGGGTTCACACCATTCTCCTGCCTCAGCCTCCCGAGTAGCTGGGACTACAGGCGCCCGCCACCACACCCGGCTAATTTTTTTTTTGTATTTTTTGTAGAGACAGATTTCGCCTGTTAGCCAGGATGGTCTCGATCTCCTGACCTCGTGATCTGCCCACCTCGCCCTCCCAAAGTGCTGGGATCACAGGCGTTAGCCATTGCACCCGGCCACAAACGCAATATTTTAAGAAGGCAAAATACATGCTTTAAAAAAAAAGCCCCAAAGATCAAGATGTCCAATGAGGACCGGGTTTGTCACAGCCTGACGCTTGAGGGCGCCGCCCTATAGGCCAGCCACGGGAGAGTTGGGTCAGAAACAGGCTGCTCTGTGCTTGTGTGATCAGGGGCAAGTCAGTTCATCTCCCTGAGCTTCCATTCCCTTACAAACCAGGTGAGGGAAAATTGCATGAGATGATGCAGTTAAGCCTGCACACAGCAGGCTCTTGGCAAAAGTCACTATTAGGGATGATAAATAAAGAGGAATTAAATACGCTACATCATTTCTCCTAGGTCAAGGGCTTGTGAAAATGAGTCAATTTTGTTTCCATCATGAGGATTCATGAGGAAAATGGTTACAACACTACAGTGTTCTGGTTTCGTTTTGTTGTTTTGTTTTGTATTTTAAAGACAGGCTCTCGGCCGGGTGCGGTGGCTCACGCCTGTAATCCTAGCACTTTGGGAGGCCAAGTCAGGTGGATCACAAGGTCAGGAGATAGAGACTATCCTGGCTAACATGGTGAAACCCTGTCTCTACTAAAAATACAAAAATTAGCTGGGCATGGTGGCATGTGCCTATAGTCCCAACTACTCAGGAGGCTGAGGCAGAGGTTGCAGTGAGCTGAGATTGCGCCACTGCCCTCCAGCCTGGGTGACAGAGTGAGACTCCATCTCAAAATAAAATAAAGACAGGGTCGCATTCTATCACCTAGGCTGGAGTGCAGTGGTGCAATCATAGCTCGCTGCAGCCTCAACCTCCTGGGCTTAAGCAATCCTTTCGCCTCAGCCTCCTGAGAAGCTGGGACTACAGGTGCACACCACCACAACCTGGCTGGGTTGTTTTTTTTTTTTCTATCTGTAGTAGAGACGAGGTCTTGTTATGTTGCCCAGGCTGGTCTCGAACTCCTGAACTCAAGCGATCCTCCCGCCTCAGCCTCTCAGAATACTGGGGATGACAGGCGTGGGACACCGTGCCAGACCTAACACTATGTTTTTACCTTTAGGATGGTAGAGGGTCACTGTGGGCTGCAGGGAAAGCACTGACAGAAGCCACTTCAGCCTCTAGCCTAAGACTCTCTGCACGAAGGCTGCGATATGTATCAGAACATGGCTGGAAGGTCTAGGACGCCACTGGGAATAACACTATTAGTGTGATGACTGACGTTCTTTGTGTTTGTTCCTCCACTCTCTTGAACTTTTTCCTAACTGCTTTATATTCACTGATGTCCCTCCTTTTTCAGAATATTTAATACTGTCTATGAGAAACCAGCCAACCCAGAAAGTCATAAACGGGGCACTGAAGAATCAGGTTCCCTACACATTCTTCTTGCTGACCATACGCTATTCCCGAGTGGAGACCACATCAAAGACACACGCGAGATCTCTTTGTCTTCAGCACGGAGAAACTCTCCAGTAAGTTGGCAAAATGAATGAAAACAAAACTTCACTTTCAGATTTTCTAAAAATTTCTTAGCAACAGCAACTTGGTCTTCTCTTAACTGATATGATTTACCAAAAACATTGTTTACCAAAGTGTCACGTCATGTCTTTGGCATAAAGCAACCTATACAACCCACAGCACCCACTTCTCATGGTTCCTTGGGTACGGAAAAGGAGTAAGATTTTGGAAGAGGGGGAACAATCAGCTGTAAAGTCTGATGATACCCAAGCCTTATCACAAAGCATTTTTCGTCTCTGCTTTCATCACCGGTATACACACACACGCACACACACGGACACACAGGCATGGGTGTGAATCTACCCGGATTCTGAACACAGGATAAAGCATGGTGCAAATGCCAAGCCTGGTGATAAGAGGATAAACCAAAGGGGCACACTGCCAGTCACCTTGCCAGTAGCCCTGGGACAACAGTATTTAGAAATCAAGCTTTGTGTGGGACTTAAATGCTACCTTTATAAACAGTTGGATCCACATTCTCTCCCCCAAGAGATACTTCTCTCCACCTCCCTCCAAAGGAGTAAAATAAATCTCTGCATTCTGCCCTAGATGACTTATAACCCCAGACCAATTCCATCTCAACACTGGCAGGGGGAAATTTAAGCCCAGAAGTGGATCCAAATGCCACAAGCAATCCAAGACAAAACCACATGAAAAACCACCCATCCTCAAGCCTTTGAGACTAGGGTCAAACTCCCGATCTACACGCCTTTCTCAGAAAGACAGCCCTAAATCTCTCTCCGGACAAGTTGCGGCTGTCTGGGAGGAGAGCTTGGCTTCTGCAAAGGGACAAGGCTGGGCTGTCCATTTCTGACACACAGCTAAACAAGCATCTGGAACGGGAGAAAAGAAATGTCCTTCAAACCCAAGGACATGAGAAAGTCCCCTGTGGACCCTCAAAAGGACACACCCAGACGGCTTCAGGCTGAGGAGTCATAGTCATGTTTGTGACTCTTTTTCAGGCACCACAAAGCCCAGAAAATGCAAAATTGGATTAGCAAACCTCATTGCATACTTGGAACTTGATGCCTCGTGTAGTCATTGGCCCTGGGGCAGGACTGATGGCTGACCCTGGGAGAAAGCTCCGGAGGCTCTGTCTTCAGCCCTAGCCCTGCCTCATGGGAGTGAATCCCTGACACCTATAAAATCACTTTCCTTCTCTATAATCTTATCATTCACGTATATAGAGTCTTACAATAAGAAAATGAGCCTGCTGAGCTAAAATAAGGCCCTTGAACCCCAACCCATAGGAGAAGGAGGAAAACTACGCTAGCATCCAGAACACTGTGGCCCATGATGCTTTAATGCCAGCCTCTGCAGCCAAGCAACCCCAGGAAATAAAAAATCCCAAGATTATATACCAAAGGTGTGATGGCTAATGCTCTGTGACAACTTGAGTGGGCCACAGGGTGCCCAGACGTTTGGTCACACTGTCTGCGAGGATGGCCCTGGATGAGATTAACAGTGGAATCAACGGGCTCTGAGTACAGCAGATGGCCCTCCCTAATGTGGGTGGGCCCCATCCATGCAGTTGAAGGCTTGAATAGAACAAAAAAACACAGCTTTCCCTCAAGGAGTGGGAGAACTCCTCCTGTCTAACTGCCTTCCAACTGGGACATCAGTTTTTTTCCTGCCTTGGGACTCAAACTAACACATCGGCTCTTTGTGAGTCTGCAGCTTGTCCGCATTTAGGCTGGACCTTATACCATCAGCCCTCCTGGGTCTCCAGCTTACAGATGGCAGATCTTGGGACCTGTCAGCCTCCATAATCACATCAGCTGATTCCTTACGATAAGCCTCTCTCTCTCTCTCTTTCTCTGTCTCTCTCTCTCTCTCCTCTCTTTCGCTCACTATCTCTCCACACACACCCACACACACACACACACACACACACACACCCTATTGATTCTGTTTCCCTGAAGAATCCAAATACAAAAGGCTATTAGCAAGAGTCCTCATGTATGCTTCAAATGCCAGTTTTGACATAATGAGCTGGAGAAATTACATTTCAAACAATCAACTCTCTGAAACACAACTCTCTTTACAAAAGAAGAGCAATTTCTGCTGTTTCCACTGCTGGGTGTGTTAATAGGGATAAAACTGAGACTGCTGAGAAGTTTAAAGACATCGAGACACGTTCCCAGCTGTGGTGCACCGGCTGTGTTGACAAGGGTCTTCGCGGATGGTAGCAGGAAACCTCATAGCGTATAAATGGAGTTGAGGGTGCAGGGACAGGGAAGTGGGATTGAGGGTGCAGGAAATCTTCACATATTTCTTTCTTTTTTTTTTTTTTTTTTTGAGACAGAGTCTCGCTCTGTAGCCCAGGCTGGAGTGCAGTGGCACAATCTTGGCTAACTGCAACCTCCACCTCCCAGGTTCAAGCAATTCTCCCTGCTCAGCCTCCAGAGCAGCTGGGATTACAGGCGCCTGCCACCATGCCCAGCTAATTTTTGGATTTTTAGTAGAGATGGGTTTTCGCTATGTAGGCCAAACTAGTCTTGAACTCCTGACCTCAGGTGATCTGCCTGCCTCAGCCTCCCAAAGTGCTGGGATTACAGGCATGAGCCACCGCACCCAGCACATTTCTCAAATTAAAAGGAGAATTCTTCCTTTACTAACTATGCACCAGTCAGAAGCCGGGAAATTTAGGAACAGAGCCAATCAGCATTTTCCACATACCTTCAGATCCGCAAGCCTGTCTGAACAGTGGGCTCAGAGAACAGTGCAGTTCTGCCTCAGAGAGAGAGAAAACGTGAGAAAATGGGAAAATAGAGTGCATTCGAAGCCTAAAAACCCTAACCAAGTCTGGCTCTCTCTTCTCTAAGTGTAGATTCTTTAACGTGTCTTTTAAAATAATAGTCCATAAGGCTGGGCACAGTGGCTCACGCCTGTAGTCCCAGCTACTTGGGAGGCTGAGGCAGGAGAATCACTTGAACCCAGGAGACGGAGGTTGCAACAAGCCGAGATCTCGCCACCACACTCCAGCCTGGGTGACAGAGTGAGACCCTGACTCAAAATAATAATAATAATAGTCCCTAAAAGTTTAACTTTTCCTGGGTGCCAGCTAAGCGATTTAAATTTGTGATCAAATGTAAAACATCTAAAGCACGCTTCAAGGCATGTGCTGCTGGTATCCCTGTCTAACAACTGAGGAGACTGAGGCTCAGGGAAGCCGACTTGCCCACAGCCATGTAGCTAATCAGTGGCAGAGCTAGGGTTTGAAGCAGGCAGTCCAGTGACCAGGAGACTTTCAGTGGGGCCTCCTTCCCACGTGGGTGAGTGAAAGTGCCGCACAACTACCCATGGTCTGAAATGTGCCGCGGAGATAGGCTGCATGGGGCTTGAGAGTATAGACTGGAAGCAACTCGGGAAAATCACAGGGCATAGTGAGCACATATGACCCCTGAGAGGGCCAGGGGGTGCTCCAGCTGAGACCTCCCCAACAGGTCGCCTTGAGTCATCCCTGGTATGCCCTGCTCTGTCACCCCCACTCACTCCCATCCAAGAGCCCCACTCCACGCCTCACCGGAGTTCGCAGCCACTTGACTTTAGCGCCAAAAAACTCTTTGCCCTCCCTCATCACACTCTGGAATGTGTCACTTTGCACAGCTCACATTTTCATATTCCACACTAATCTGGACACACTTCTAACAAACCCTTCCTAAACTGTGACTCCCTCAGGTGTGCTGGTTTGCAGCCAGCCCACGCCCACTTCCTCCCTCCTTTTGGCATCTGTATCCTCTGTGCCCTGGGTGAAGCCCCTCCCACATGGGCCTGGCCACACCCCCAGTTCCAGGAGTGGACGTGAGCCTGGAGCCTGAGCCAATCCAGGCATTGCTACCCCCCAGGCCATGGCAATGGCAGAGGAGCAGGGCAGTGGGCAGGGGAAGGCACGACCAACCCGAGCCAATGACTCTCTGCTGTGAAGGCTGGAACAGGGCAGGTGGGTGTCCCTCCCACTGGCCTTGAGGCCCAGATGACATAAGCCATCATGCCACCATCTAGAAACAGAAAGTAAAGGCAATATGGTAGAGGGCAGATTGGAAAGAGAGAGACCAAGTCCTAAATCGACTACCAAGCCAGCTCTCCTTAAAAACTACAAGGCTACTCTCTCTTTCACCAAAGCCAGCCGGGGCCAGGTTTTCTGTCACACACACAACCTAGCAAACCTTAACTGCCTCGAGGTCTCAGGGAAGGCACTGCACGAAGGGAAACCACCACTGTAATCACAACACCTTCCTGGGGCTTTTTCCACATTTTAATAGTTAGCCTTCCATATGTAAGTATAATTTTCCTATATCCTCAAGCCTGTTTAAACCCCAGGACTCTGCCCCTTATAGAAACAATGAACCACACACACAGAAGCAGAGTTGACATTTTTTGCTTAGGGCTACCTGTAAGCAGGCTTTCAATGAGGACAAACAACCGGCAACTGCACCTCCCAGAACTGCCATGAGCCTGAGGCAAAGGCAGAGACTACACGGCTGTGATGAAGCTGAAATCCCCTGGGTCCATTCGTGGGCAGTGGGCCAGCCTTGGGGACAGGGCCCTCATTTTACTCAAAGACACACGCAGCTCAAGGACAAAGCACCTGGTTCTAGAAAGAGCCCAGGTTTGCAATCAGACTTGGGTTCGCAGCCCAGTGCCCCCACGTCCAGAGCCTGTCCCCTCAGCTGTGTACTGGGTGGTGCTGGGGGCCAGTGGGACGGCAGCCTACAAGGACAGACCAGCTAGCACTCCCCATCAAAGAACGAACTTTGGGAAATAAAGAAGTGAAAAGACTGCTGGCCCATCTTCCACAGCAGGAATCTTTCTTTTCTGAGATAGGCTACTGTTAACCAGGAGGCCTCAACCTGGTTGAGATGTAAAGTGGTCCTTTTATTAATAAATAAATGTCCATATTGTCTTCACAGGAATAGGCAAGGCCAGATAATTTCTAGAAGAGATAAAGCACCCTTCCATCCGAACCAAAACTCATTTCTAACAAGAGAGAGGAGAGGTTCAAAATTCTTTTAGTCTGAAATATAATCCTGAAGCCAGAGGGTTTGTTTACTCAATGGACTGTTCACCAGCTGCTCAGAAACAGGTTTCGTGTGAGTGCTCATACGTCCCACTTATACAAACAAGGAGGCCGAGGGAGGACACCAGGCCCTGGCAGCCTACAGAGGGGGAGGCCTTCCTTCCTCGCCCTCACCCACGAAGAGAATAAAACAGGACTAAACCCTTTAGACTCAGTTCAGTTTTGAGTGTGACAGTCAGAGCCACCAACTCAAAGTGCAGCGACTGAGGTTCAGGGGTCAGCCCTGCAATTCCCCTGTTGGTGTGCTTCTGAGCAAGCCTCTCGTCATGAACCCGAATTTCTTCATCCATTTCTACTTCCTGCCAGGTGTGGTCCGGGTTCTGATGACACAGCCTCTAACACTTCTCACTCTACTTACTCCAGGGGGCCACAGGCTTTCTCACTTCTCCTGAGGCCATTGCAGGACATCGCAACCAGGCTGGGTTTTCTCCTTCTTCCGAATCCTGCAGCCCCTCTTCATAGGCACATCCCTGCCACGGGGCACTGTCTACACATGACCTCCAGGCACACAGGCCCCTCCTGCGTCATCCACAGCACTGGGGTGACGGTACCAGCAGGCACTGTGAGGCGACAACCCTGAGTGCCAGCTAATGCACATGTGATCTCATCACAGCCTCCCGCCAGTGAGGCAAGGAGGGCTCCCATTATCAAGGCAAGGAAACCAAGGCCAGAAGGCACTGAGTGACCTGTCCCAGGAAGCAAGCAGAGCTCGAATCCAGATGCATCACACTCCACAACATGAGCCCTTCACACTCCAACAAGAGGGTAGGAACTCACCTCGGACCTCTGGATGTGCCCCAACCCTACGACTCGGCATTCAACAGACACTTCTCAGGACCCAGAGGTGCCCCTGCAAGTTCTTTTGGTTGCCAGCCAGCTCCCGCGATAACCAAAAGCAACCAAAACAAGCTTGTGTCAACAGAAGGAGGGCACGCTGCGCCTCTGACTAGGAAGTTTCAATCTCATAAAGATTTCAAGCCATCTAAATTAATCTGCAAGCTCAGTGAAATGCAGTAAGATACCGACCAATTTCTGCTGGGGATCTAAATGAGCTGATTCCAAAATTCATGAGGATGGGAGAAGCAGCAAGAATGGAATAGCCATGAAAATTCTATAAAGGAGTTAGATTAGTAAAACATGCTGTAAAACTACAATAACTGAACACAGTGTGATAAGGTTTGGAACTGTGTCCCCAACCAAATCTCATGTTGAACTGTAATCCCCAGTGCTGGAGGTGGGGCCTGGTGGAAGGTGACTGGATCATGGGGGTGGGCCTTCATGAACGGTTTGGCACCATCCTCTTCGCGCTGTTCTTATGATAGTGAGTGGGTGAGTGCCTGAGAGATCTGGTGGTTTAAAAGTGGGTGATACCTCCCGCCTTGCTCTTTCTCTTGCTCCTGCTCCCACCATGTGAGTGCCTGCTCCCCTTTGCCTTCCACCATGATTGGAAGCTTCCTGAGGCCTCCCCAGAAGCAGAAGCTGCTATGCTTCCTGTACAGCATGCTGAACCATTAGCCAATACCCAGTCTCAGGTATTTCTTTATAGCAGTGCAAGAACAGACTAATACACAGTGGCATCCCACACTAACAATCAGATGCTATAGCAGAATAGAAAGTCCAGAAATACACCCAAATACACACTGGAATCTAGTATAGGATAAAGATGGCATTTCAAATGAGTGAGAAAAAGGTAACTCATTAAATATTTTGTTGATAACCACCCATATCTCACACTTTGTATCAGCATAAATTAGACGGATCAGACTTAAATGTAGAAAATAAAACCATAGAAGTACTAGAAGAAAACATGGGAGAAATCCAAAATCCATTTTTTTAAAAAAGGATGATAAATGTAAACACATAAAAATGTCTTAAAGTCAAGGTAAATAGGCGGGGAGCAGTGGCTCACACTTGTAATCCCAGCACTTTGGGAGGCTGAGGTGGGCAGATCACCTGAGGTCAGGAGTTCGAGACCAGCCTAGCTAACATGGTGAAACCCCATCTCTACCAAAAATACAAAAATTAGCCGGGCATGGTGGTGGGCACCTGTCATCCCAGCTATTCGGGAGGCTGAGGCAAGAGAATTGCTTGAGCCCATGAGACATAGGTTGCAGTGAGTGGAGATCGTGCCACTGCACTACAGCCTGGATGACAAAGTGAGACTCCATCTCAAAAAAAAAAAAAAAAAAAAAAAAAAAAAAAAGTCAAAGGAAATGATATACTGGGAGAACTATTTCCAACTCATCATAAATTTTGGTTTTTGTTTTTTGGTTTTTGTTTTTTTTTAAGACACAGTCTCACTCTGTCACCCAGGAGTGCAGTGGCATGATTTTGGCTCACTGCAACCTCTGCCTCCCAGGTTAAAGTGTTTATCCTGCCTCAGCCTCCCAAGTAGCTGGGATTACAGGCACACACCACCACACTCAGCCAATTTTTGTATTTTTAGTAGAGATGGGGTTTCACCATGTTGGCTAGGCTGGTTTTGAACTCCTGACCTCAAGTGATCCACCCGCCTCAGCCTCCCAAAGTGCTGGGATTACAGGCATGAGCCACCGCGCCTGGCTAACATATTATAAATGTTTTAAAATTTAATCTCCTTAATATATATATAGTCCCTAAAAACCAATAAAAAAGATCAATAATCTAATTGAAAAACTGGTAAAGAACATAACACAGGCAGTTCACACACACACACACACACACAAACCTAAATGGCTCCGCATTCTTAACTATGAAAAAATGTCCAATCTCACTTTCAATAAGATAAATGTAATTTTGATCTTCACAGAGATTCAATTTTTCACCTATTAATTTAGCAAAAATAGAAATGTCTGAAAACACACTGTTGGCAAGGATGTACAGAAACACTCTCTCATTACTTGTTTGTGGACATGTAAATTGTTACAACATATACAGAGAGCAGTGTGACAATATCCATCAGTTACAAAAGGTATAGCCCTTAGTCGGCAATTCCATTTCTAGGAATTTGTCCTACAGGTATGTTTCCACATGTGTGAAATGACACCTACATGCCCATTAACAGAAGACTGATTAAATAAATTATGTTACATCCATATAATGAACACTAAGCACCTATATAAATGAATGAAGAGCTTTTTAGGAATAACCACTCAGACACACAAGATATTTTTATAAAGCAAGGTAAAAAGCATAGTGTATGTGTAAGAGATAGAAAAGATATCCACATGCAAAAGAATAAAGTTGGACTCCTATAAATCATCTAAAAAAATTAACTCACACAATATACAAAAATTACCTCAAAATGGAACTTACATATAAGTATGTAAGACTTATATGTAAGAGCTAAATTTTTAGAAAAAAATAGCATAAATCTTTGCGACACTAGATTAGACAATGGCTTATTAAATATGACACCAGAAGCAAAAGCAACAAAAGAAAAAACTAGATAAATTGGACTCATCAAAATTTAAAACTTTTGTGCTTCAAAGAATATAATCAAGAAAGTGAAAAGACACCCCCATAGAATGGGAGGAATCACTTGCAAACTATACATCTGATCAAAGTATTTTTATGTAGAATATATGAAGAACTCTTACCCATCAATAATAAAAAGACAAATAACCCAATGTAAAATGGGCAAAAGACCTGAATAGACAGTTCTCAAAAGAAGATTTACAAATGCACAATACACGAAGGCAAACAAGGTCAACATGACTAGCCATCAATGCATTGCAAATTAAACACACAACGAGATACCACTTTATACCTTAGGATGGCTATAAGCAAAAAGACAGACAATAACAAATGTTGGTGAGGATATAAGAAATCATAACCCTCATACACTTCTAGTGAGATGTAAACTAGTACAGCAATTTGGAAAACCATTTGGCAGTTTGTCAAAAGGTTAAACATGGAGTTATCATATGACCCAGCAATTCCACTCCTAGGTGTATATTCCCAAGAGCCATCAAAATACATGTCCACACAAAAACTCATATACTTGTTCAGAGCAGCATTATTCATAATAGCCCCAAAAAGGAAACAACTTAAATACCTGATATGGTTTGGCTGTGTCCCCACCCAAAGCTCATCTTGAATTGTAGTTCCCATAATCCCCATGTGTTGTGAGAGGGACCTTGTGGGAGGTGATTAGATTATGGGGGTGGTTCCCCCATGCTGTTCTCATGATAGTGAGTTCTCACAAGATTTGATGGTTTTATAAGGGGATTTTCCCCAATCCACTTTGCACTTCTCTCTCCTGCCACCATGAGGACATGTTTGCTTCCTCTTCCGCCATGATTATAAGTTCCCTGAGGCCTCTCCTGCCATGCAGGTTTAACTGTGAGGCAATTAAACCTCTTTCCTTCATAAATTTCCCAGTCTCAGGCAGTTCCTTATAGCAGCCCCTGAGAACAGGCTACTACAATATCTATCTATTGATGAATGGGTAAATAAAAGATGGTATACCCATTCGATGGAACATAACGGCAATAAAAAGAAATGACACATGCCACACATAGATGAACCCTGAAAACACTGTACTAAATAAAATAAGCTATTCACAAAAGACCACACATTGTATGGTCCCATGTATATGAAAGACCAGAAAAGGGAAATCTATACACAGAAAGAAAATTCAGAGACACATAGAGATTAACTACTATGGATTCATGGTTTCAGTCTGGAGTGATGAATGTATTCTAAAATTGATTTCAGTGATAGATGCACAACTCTGTAAATATACTAAAAACCATTGAGTTGGACACTTTATTTGTTTTTTTTTTTTAAGAGAGGTGGGGTCTGGCTATGTTGACCAGGCTGGTCCAAACTCCTGGCATCAAGCAATCCTCCCATCTTGGCCCCCAAAGTGCTAGGATTACAGGCATGAGCCACCATGCCTGGCTGGGTTGGACACTTTAAATGAGTGAATATAGTATATAAGTTATATCTCACCAAAGTCATTATAAGAAATAGGGAAGGAATGTGTGTGTGTGTGTGTGTGTGTGTGTGTGTGTATGCATGTATATATTACACTCACTTGCTTCTATATTTATAAAATCTCCCTGGAAAGATTTGACAAGAAATT
Organism: Homo sapiens; assembly: GCF_000001405.40. Classification (NCBI taxonomy): domain Eukaryota; kingdom Metazoa; phylum Chordata; class Mammalia; order Primates; family Hominidae; genus Homo; species Homo sapiens. Next base: position 92,643,449 of record NC_000015.10, read on the forward strand.
GACAACACAAAGTGAAGAAAACTGTGTGGCTAAAAGGTAAGAATACTTTTTGCTATATGCTCTTTTGTTCTTTGTGAATTTTGAACCATGTGAATATATGACCTAATTTAAAACCAAGTATATAAATACAATTCAATGTAAATCATTAAAATAAATTTTGAAATGGAGTAAGTCTGTGTCAGGCTGCCCCTCTGGCAGGAGACCCTTCTCCCAGGGCCCACCCATGGCTGACTCCATGTGGCTTTGCCCGGCTATCCTGGTGACTTCAGAACCCAAACTCAGTGACTCAAACCTTTCCTCCACCTGGAGGAAATGGAAATAGTGGGCTGTTTCCATTTTTAAGCCCACTAAAGTAGTTCTGTAGCCCAAGGACCAGCGTTCTGCCAAAACCATATTACTTGTCAATGAACAGCACACGTGAACTCTGACATTTGGAAAAAGTAATCAAGAAAATGAAAATGGATCATGGGAGAGGAAGACTGAAGCACACAGGTGCCGCCAGTGTAGACAGGAGGACTAGCAGGCGACCCTGAGCCAAGCGGTCCCTCCAATGCTCTGAGGACACAGACCTGTTTCGCTTTTACCCTCTGAGCTCTACGCTGCACCTCCTCCTCAGGACATAAGAAGTAACAGAGCTTCCCCCAGAAAACCAGCTACACTTGAAGAAATGAAGAACATGACTCAGAACCCACTCTTCAGCCCTAGCCTCTGCCCCACCCTGTAAGGAAGCAGGTGTTGGAGGCCCCTGGACAATCAACAGGCTAGCCAGGGTCTCACCACCATGGCCTGCCACCAAGACACATTCCCAATAACCAGCCTACCTCCCTTTCTGCCCTGGGCACAGCCCTCTGAGCTCCACCCGACACCTTCCACCTAGAGCATTTTCGACAAGCCACTGAGAGGCAAACACCGGTGTGATAGAAATCTCATCTTACTCCACTGCAGATGGGCCACTTCAGACAAATAAGTCACATGAGGCAAAAGCATTTTCCTCTAGTGCAGCAAGAGCCTCCAGATCTCCAGCAGCCAAGCTCCAACACCATCCAGCTCCGGCAGAACCCTCCCCAACACAGAGGCTGGGGAGACCCTGGATGCACCCTCGCCTCACCCCTGTCCTAGGGCACCCCCTCCCCACCACGCTGCAGCCCCTCAGTTCCAGCACCCAGCACCCAGTCACCAGTCAAGCACCATGGCTCAACATACCAGGTCAATAACTCAAATGCCCCAAGGCCTTGTAGACAAAAGAAACCAGAGCAGCAGGACTGCTGAGACCTAAACAAGGGAACAAACAACAGTGACAAGTGGTGGACAATACTCTGTCTTCAAGTCAAAAAGGCACAAATAGCGGCACCCTGCCCAGCCTAGGTGGAGTGGCAGCCACCAAGCTCCTGCCCGGCTGCCCCGGAACAGAGGTCTTGCACTTCCATGTATCCCCACCTGTCAAAAGAAGGAGGAAATCTAGATTTTTATATAAAGGCTCCTAACTTTTAAGTGTTCTCAACTATCTTAGTTTTTAAAACACTGTGCAGATCAAAAAACAAAACAAATGTCTGTGGGCCACATTTTTCAGCCCCAGGCCATCAGTTTACCATCTCTGACTTGGTTCTCTGACCATGGTTCATTAGGTCCTACGTGCCAAGCATGAGTGATATTTAGTAACTCAGCTCAAAATCATGAGCCCAGAGAGATGTAATGATATGCACGTTCCACTAAATCCTTCCTTATCTCTGTTCACCAACAGTTCAACCATGACTAAGGAGTATTGACCATTATTTATATAATCTAGCTGCTTCCTCTACCTCCTGGGCACCATCCCATTGGGGTTAACCAAGTGTTAGCACTGTTGGTTGACCCCAGGATGGGCATGCAGCACACAGCACAGACCGTGCCCCTGGGGGCTTACGCTTCATAGAGGATCATCCAGCATGGGCCAGACAACCCTGAAGAGCTCAATGACAAGTCTTCAGGTTTTTCTTCATTACACTAAAGTGTTTAGCCTCCATCTGCTCCCCATCCTGTTTCTCTTTCCCTCTCTCAGTCCCTGAGGGATAAATCCAATGCTTACTCTTCCAAGACAAAAGCAGCACACAGTAAATCCGGCAACAGCAAATGCCCCAAGACCTGTTCCTCCAGCTCTCGGGTGTGTTTGCAAAGGGTTGGTTCTGCTTTGTTTTTATATAAGGGGCCAGGGAAGGGAAGTGAGGTTTAAAGCAGAGAAGGTAGCCCCTAGGGGCAGCCCCATGGGGTCAAGGACAGCGGCAAGATGACCCAGAGGGGCCCTTGGTGGACCCAGGGGACCTGACCACCACCTGGAAACTCTGAGGTCACAGTGCTTTGGGGCACATGTCGTAAGGGGCCCTTTCAGTACCACTTATCCCTGCCACCCAGGTAGGGGAGGGTGGGAATGTCAGTCCTCACCACCCACTCCTTCTAGGCAGATGCTCCCAATGCCCCTCCACCCAGCCCCAAGGCCCAGCTGCATGGCTGGAGTTTTCATGAGCAAGTTTCACCTGTGAGTCCTCTTCTTCCTCACCAAACCTATCCCTTTCCCTGCCTGGTCACCCCCTTCACAATGCCCCCCTTCTCTATGCCCTTCAGGACAGCCTGACACTTTCCTCTTTCTCCTCTTCATCCATTCAGGCCTCCAGTCCTCCCAAGTGGTCCTTCCAGCACCTTCCACGGGTCTCCCCAGACATCCTGCACCCCCCACACCAGCCACGTCACTATTCATGCATTCTTGGTAAATCCTTGGTACAACCTGATCTGGACCAACATTTCTAGAGAAGCCCTGTGATTACTTCACTCTTGTATTAAAATCCTCCATTTGCTCCTCTCACCCACTACAAATCTCCTAGTCCTCCAGCTGGAATTGGCTTCCAAAATCCAGCTGCAATGGGAAGGGTGAGGCGGACTCCTCCCCTTCCCCAGCTGCTCATCCTTGAGCAAGACACTTCAACAACTGAGCCTTGGTTTTCTCATCTGTGAAATGGGGATGATAAACCAAAATTGAAATTCTAAGCCCCCCAACCATCTGAATGAACCCCTCCTCTCAGCAAGGCTATTGACAGCAATTTGGAATCTCAGCAGTGCCAAAGCTAACCCGAAAAACTAATTCAGGCCATGATGGGAAGGGTGGGGGGTTGGACATACCTGATTCTACCCTCCTCCCTTTTGGATTTATTGATAGACCCTCTAAGTCTGACAAGAAACATTTACAATCTATTCTCTCCAAAGCCTGCCACCTGGAGGCTTCGCCTGCATAATAAAACCTTGGTCTCCACACCCACTTATCTTAACCCAGACATTTCTAAGTTTTAGACAATAACTTAACTCTTTCAACCAACTGCCAATCAGAAAATCTGTGAATCTACCTATGGCCTGGAAGTTATCCCCCCTTCCACTTATCCTGCCTTTCTGGACCAAACCAATGTACATCTTACATGTATTTGATATCTCATGTCTCCCTAATATGTATAAAACTAAGCTGTACCCCAACCACCTTGGGCACATGTTCTCAGGATCTCCTGAGGGCTGAGTCATGGGCCAGTGGCCACTCATATTTGGCTCAGAATAAATCTCTTTAAATATTTTACAGAGCTTGACTCTTTTTGTCGACAGGACTGACAGTGCACCACTCATAGGAGTGAGGAAAACATATAAAATGCTTATCACAGAGTCCGTTACACAGTAAGGGCTTAATAAATACTAGTTGCTATTATTGTCATCAACATCACAATTTCCAAGTGATTTCACAAACCCTACCCTCAGCAAAGCTTGCTTCACCCATCTGGTCCTGGAAGAACCTCTTCTTCCTCCCATCCTGCCAAGTCCTAATCGTCCTCCTCCTCCACCATGCCTTCCCAGACCATTCTGGTCCCTGACCCATCCTTTCTCAGTTTACCTAGCATTGCTTTTAATACATGGCTCCCCTGTGGGATTGGACGGCTCCTTATCTGCCAAGTAGAATCATTCAAGCCATAAGCCAAAAATAAAATTCTAAGCCCCCCAGCCAGTTGAAGAGACCTGGCCAAGAGGACCCCAGAGAAACCTGAAAAACTAAATTCCAGGCCTAGACAAGAAAGGAGGTCAGACACGCCACATTATACCCCTCCCTTTTGGAGTTTAGGCACAAATGACCAGCATTAATAATGAAATAGAGATCATAAGACTGGCAAAACAAGGCTCTTTGTGGCAATAAGATACCAAATTCCAACCTGATTCTGTGTAGCATCACATGACAGACAGCAGGCCCTGAAGGAAATGAAATTTTACCCAAAAATGTCTGTGACATGGTTTGAAATGGCCCTGCAAAGCCATCTTTTGTGGGAAAATTTTTGCATCTATAGAGAATCTTCATTAATGCAGCTAGGCCTTTGGTGGATCTAGGAGAGATTAACTAAAAGTCTGGCACCTTTTAAGATCTGAAAAGAGGCATTTACCATCTATTCTCTCTGAAGCCTGCTACCTGGAGGCTTCATCTACATAACAAGAACCTTGGTCTCCACAACCCCCCTTATCTTAACTCAAGCATTCCTTTCTATTGACTTCAAGTCTTCAGACAAAGCTTAACTCTTTCAAGCAACTGCCAATCAAAACCTCTTTGAATCTGCCTATGGTCTATAAGCCCCACTTCAAGAAGCCCTGCCTTTCTGGGCTGAACCAAAGTAAACCATCCATATATTGATTCATGTCTTTGCCTGTAACTTCTATCTCCCTAAAATGTATAAAACCAGGCTGAAACCTGACCACCTCGGGCCCACGTTCTCAGGACCTCTTGATATTGTTCCCCAGGTCAATATGGTCACTCATATTGGCTCACAATAAACCTCTTTAAATATTTGTAGAGTTTGGGGTTTTTGTCAACAAAGGGCATTATCCTATGCCTTAGATTGAGCTGGATGGTCCTTGACCTCTGATGTGTTCCATGGCACCTCTATGTTCACAGTGGGTGCTAATTAAACACCCTGGGAAGAACACTGTTTACTCAGCCGTGTTTGCTCCTAGGTGCTGGGTTCAGTGTTGGGGAGACCTCGCTGGACAGGGCCAAACTCAGCCCACCACATCTTGGAGGTCCAAAAAGGGCCAAGCTGAGCATCCAAGCCCCTAGGTTTAAGTCCTATTTTTCCTACAAACTCACTCAGTGACCTTCACCAAGCCTCCCCACTCTGGGCCTCAGTTTTCTCATCTGTACAATGAGTGTAGGGAGGTAGGCGGAAGGAGCTCTGAATGCAAAGAAACGCCTACCTGAGAGGGAGGGGTCTAGAAGGGCTCTGCCAGGCCTACAAGAGCCCTGCCCAAGCACTTTGCCATGGTCCCTCCTCTGTGCCACACCTGCCCGTGAGAAAGGGTTTCCTCCTCCCCGCACCCTCAGGAAAATAAATAGCAAATCTAGATTCCTGGCAGATTGCCCTTAGATTAAGTATAGTTTATTTTTTAAGTGAAACAATAATAACATGATCCTAAATTCATGGTCCCAGGATTTCCCTTTGCAAATGGTTAGACCCAAAACCTCAGTCATAAAACTAAAGTACTAACACAATCCATGAAGGCTTCTTTGCTTAAATCCAGGAGTGTTTCCCTCTCTTGACACTCGCCCTACAGGATGCTCTACAGATACTGACATTGGAGTTCCCTTAGTCCCCACTGCTTACCCTAGATTTGCCTGGTGTCTCAAGAAGAACCTGCATTTGCAAAGACACCCATACACAAAGCCTACATGGGCATGAAAGTCTATGGGTAATGCCATATAAGTCAGGAGGCTCAGGCTTAAATTAAAGAGGGATTTTCTTCCCTTTCCAATTTGATAGAAGGAATCCACGTCAGGTGCCAGGTCTTCACAGTCCTGTTAATGGGGGCAGTCATGAGGCGCCTCCTTCATCAGGGAATTGAGTAGTCAAGGAGGCTCACTTGGGCTAAAGAGTCAGCAATTTCATTTCAAAGAGCCTCAGAAACAGATGCACCTGCCTGATAATTGTGGCCATATGGCTGCATCCTCATTTATGGACAGAAGCAAGACCAAAAGGTTGGGTGTAAATTACATCTGTTTTCAGAATCGTATTTTTCAATATAATAGGACACTTGACTGCTTAAAGGGGAGCCAGAGACTTAGTTGACACAATCTCATTCTAAACCTGCAATAGCCCTTGGAAGCATGTACTCTAATTAATGATGAGAAATGGTGCCCAGAAAGGTTCAATAAACTGCCCATATCAGACAACCAGCAGGCCTTGAAGCCGAGATTCTCGGCATCTCTCAACTCTGGCACCCTTGACATTTGGGGCTCCCCATCCTGACAATCCAAAATGTCTCCAGATATGACCAAATAACACCAGGAGGCAAAATCCTTCGGCTTGCTCTCTACTCTCTTTTTTAAAGAATCTGGATTTTGGCTGTATCCGATTTGCTTAACACTTCTTCACTGTGGCATATAATATCAAACATGAAAGAAGATGAACATTTGTCACTTCTATAGTTTTTTCCTTCAATTCAAAGCCTTGGGGAAGCAATGAGAAACGACCGACTGATGCTAACAAGTCCCACAACCTCTCTCAAATCAAAATGGGGCTGGACCTTCTAACCATGGCTCCACCCAAAACTCCAATTTACTAAAATAATATTGATATACCATGAAATAATAAGCAATGACAAAAAAATTTTTAAATGGTAACTTTCCCTAAATGCTAAAAGTATTAAGCTTTTATATTTTCTTTTAAATAACTTTTCTTATAACAAATGTAAATACACACACAATAGAGAATTTAGGAAATACAAGATAAGTAGGAAAGTTCTCGTTCCTTTTCAAAGACCTGGCTTAGTAAAATTAACAAAGCATCTGTGGTTCCAATGTCTTCAGGGCATAGCAGTGTGCACCTTTCCCACTGACAGCTGGGCAATGTCAGACCGCTTAGAATTCAACCTCCCGATCCCTCGGGAAGCACCAAAAAGAAGCCTCCTTTCAGATAAGAGGATTTTACAGAGATTTTGAAGTAAGAAGTGGCTGGGCATGCAGCCAACAGACATCTAGAGAACTGGAGCCTGCACCGTGGAGTTCGGAGACTCTCCAAGACTGGGAAAGGATCCCCAGGATGAAAGGAACGTTGTGGTTTCGAGGTGGCAGGGTTTTCCTGACTTGCCCCCGCTCTGCTCATGAGACACCAGAGCGTAAAGTCAGATTCCTTCCAGAACTCAGACAATAAAGTGTTCTGAGTGAATGTAGGGGGCAAAAGGTACTGATACCAGCAGTCCTTGGCTTATGTGTATTATCCTGAATCCATGCAACATCACCAGTTGTTTCCCAATACCAAAAAATTAGGAGCAATCACAGCTTTCTACTTCCTAGAGACAGCCTCTTTGCTGATTCCCTTTCAGCTCCCATAAACCTGCCAAGTAGCAGACCCAGGGGGTTCACCACACCAGGTACCTGTAGGACCACTCTCACACATGTGAAGGTACCCAACAAAGGGCCCTCGGTCTCCAGCCAGCTTTCCCTCCTTCCGATTTTTGTCTCCTGTCTAAAAATGGTTTGCCTTAATGATGAAATACATTTAAAAAGGTGGACGTGATTCTACAGATGGGGAAATCAGATTGATTAAGGAGAACATTTGGAAGAGACAGAGGCTCAACTATGGTAGAAAATGAAGAAATACAAAATAAAGCAATGAATACCAAATTATACCCATCAGATTGGAAAGCATTAGAAAGTAAGATAATACTAAGTGTTGGATATGATGTGAGAATCTGAGAACCCTCAGGCTCTGCAGATGGAAACCTACACTGGTGCCTGCTCAAGGAAATCAAGAATGAGCACCCCCTAGGATCCAGAAGCCCCACTCCCAGGTGTACACCCCAGATGCTCTCATACTGGTCCTCAGAAAGACACATCCAAGAATGCGGCCAGGAGCTGAGTATACACACAGGGATACTCAACATACACACATCATAACTACATGCTTCTGGATTGTAAAAGAATTCAAACTATGCAGAAACATATCGTGAATAATAAAAAAATATGATAATCACCCACATGCACAGACACACAGATTTATCTGCACATTCGTATATACATGTTTATAATTTATTTAAATGAGCTAATACTATACATGTCACTTTGTGACCTGTTTCAGACTCAAAAATATATAGCAAGTATTATCTCAATGTCATCATTTTGAACAGCTGCACAGTATTCTGCCATAAAGATTGCCATGATTTGCTTAACCAATGCCCAGTTGTTGGACACTTGGATTATTTAAACCTTTTCACTATCAAACAGAGCTTCTCTGAATATCATTGCACTTGCATCTTGGCTTTCTCTTCTAATCATTCACATTAGAAGCAAAGAATATATAGTGCAGTGGAAAATGTACATACTTTAAGAATGGAATCACTTGATTAAAAGTATACATCTTTTTCATTAAAAGACACATTCTTTGCTTCTAATTTCCTTGGATCCAATTTTTTTCTGTTGTCTGGTAAGGTGACTCCTTCAGAGAAAACAGAGAAATAGGCTAGGACTGCCATTTTATACGCAATCATACTTACTACACTCTCCTTTATCTACATTGTACAAATTCCTACCTCGCAGGTATCCAGCATCAGTCATGCAGCTAGTCTAGCACATTTTGAGAGACATCAGCAATGTAAAATCCTTGAGAGCTCAACATTCTTTTGCTAAAAATATCTTTATTAAATGCCAGCTTGTGCCTGGAACCACACTAGGTATTAGGGAAACACAGAAGATTAATGCCTAGTCCTGCTCAGAAGAAGTTCGGTGGCACTTGACTCTGAAGAGGGAATTCAAAAATCGAGTGTGCTTTGGAAGCACAGAGGGGCCCTAGCTGCAGAGGCTTCTCAGAGGAGGCAACAGCAACGAGGTCAAACAGCACCGAACTGACCACGCAGTCTTAGTGACAGAGGGGACTCCAGGCAGAGGGGTAGAGTGGGACAAGATGCTCAGGCCACGCAGTGCCTCCAGAGAACCCCAGGAAGTCCAGCAAAGCAGGAGGCGCACTGAGCAGAGCCGAGATGGGGGCTCAGGAGGGAGGCAGCACCCTGATCTGAAGAGTCAGCCTTGCCCACACATCAAGGAGTCTGTATGCAGGGAGAATTGGCAGGGAGGGGTAGAAGAAGGATGAGACAGGCATTCCTGCAGTTGAGGGAGGACAGACTGGAGAGGGACAAGGTTGGAGGCACGAACCCCAGCTTAACAGATATTATTGCAATTCAGGAGCGACAAGGTAGAAACGGCGGCAGGTGGCGAAGCTTCACTGGGGAAGGTGGTGTGGGCAGAGGTGAGACAGTCTCTTGGAGACTCAGGTGGTGGAATTTCCAGGACTCGGTGCCCGCAGGCTAAGGAGTTGCAGAGGGAGAAAGGAAGGAGGGCCCCCAGCCAGCAGAGCAGGCATTTGGTTAGCTGACTAACCAAGGTTACAGGGGAGCGTGGGACAGGGGAAAGGCCACAGTACAGACCGAATAGCACAGATGAGGTGCTGGCCCTGCCTTGGCTACACAGACTTGCAGAGTGTTCTAGAATCTAGCAATGACTTATTCCACTTCCTGGGATGCAACTTTCTCAACTGCAAAGAAACACATGGGGACTGTGCACCATCAGGGCCCTTGCAAGCTGTAAAATATTACAAAGTCCTCTCTAGATCAGAATCTGGGGTGGCAGCTGTCCACCTGAAAACTCACCCTAACAAGATTGCCTTCCTGGGAAGAGACGCAGATCATGTCCATAACCAGCTTCTCCTATGAAGTCGTAAACTTCTTTCAACACTCCACACCCAAGCTACTAAAGACCCATCTCTTCCAGGCTAGAGTGCTGGCTTACCCACTCCAACATGAGTCTCGCACCCCTCACATCTGGGTGCATGCTGCCTTCTTTTCTCCCCTACTCCTGAGTAATAAACAGCAGACTAGCAAAATTGTTCAAATACCTTCTAAAAAAAATACACA